>NC_000001.11:244517454-244668970 GCF_000001405.40 Homo sapiens
GCAAACCTGTATTTCTCTATAAACATCATCAAATGGGCTGGGTGCAGTGGCTCATGCGTGTAATCCCAGCACTTTAGGAGGAGGAGGTGGGTGGATCACCTGAGGTCAGGAGTTCGAGACCAGCCTCACCAATATGGTGAAACCCTGTCTCTACCAAATATAAAAAAAATTAGTGGGGCATGATGGTGCATGCCTATAATCTCAGCTACTTGGGAGGCTGAAGTAGGAGAATCGCTTGAACCCAGGAGGTAGAGGTTGCAGTGAGCCGAGATTGTGCCATTGCACTCCAGCCTGGGCAACACAGCAAAACTCTTGTCTCAAAAAAAAAAAAAATCATCAAATGAGTATTCTTCAGGAAAGGCCTTCCCTGACCATTATTCCTACTTCCCACAATGGGTTCTACTATCAGATAACCCCATAACCCCCCTAATTACTCCTTACTGGCACTCATGATAACAATCTTAAAGGTTCCTTTGTGAGTGGATGCCATGTTTTTAGAAAATTAAACAAAAGCAGTATTAGAGGATTAGGATAGAATTCTAGACTAGCCCTCATCATCTGATTTTTTAATTCTAGAAATTTCCCATAGTAAAACAGTTGCTTCCATTCTAAAAGTACCTTATTAGGAATAATTCCAACTCAATTCCCCTTCTCCTTATGTATCATGAGAAAAAGGGAGCTTTTCAGATCTATCTGATTTCTAAGAGCGTTTTCCTTAAAGCCCCCAGGTATCGTTTGAAACCTACCTTGAAAGAGTATGTCATTTTGAAGGCAGGCTCATGTAGGAAGAATTCTAACAAACAGATTAGTTTCAGAAACTCTACTATGTATTTCATGGAGATTAACACTAGGGTTATTTATTTAAGTATCCCCATAGTTTCAGTGCATTCAGGATTCTGATTGTGTGTAGAGTTTTTGACGAGTTGGAAACTATTACAACTTATTTATAATTCATAAAGTTCGCATGGGGAGGAGGCTATAAGGTAGAAAGAACAAAGCTGAATCTTGAGCACATGGTAAATTTACAAATGTAAGCAATGTCTTAACGAAAATAACAAATTCAATATATCCTGATGTCACATCAAAATACTTTAGCTATGAAAATAATAAAAAATGAAATTTAATTTGTTTTTACAGAATTCCATAGTACTCAGCACACAGATGGCCACATTGGGACAGAAGCCTGTCATACATACAGTTCTGAAGAGAAAAGTTTATTCTTCAAATGAGAAAATGAGAAGGGGGTATTTAATTTTTTTTAATTTTAAATATAGAAATATGAAAACTTAAACTAGATTTTAAAATCCTAGTGGAACTTAATGAAATGTGTCTTATATGTTATTTTCAAGTGCCTTCTTTTATAAAACATAAAAAATTTGATAATCAGAACTAATTACTAACTTAGAAAATGCTAGACTCTTGGATTAGAGTTTTACAATTTGTGTCCATACATAATCCTCAATCCAAGAGCCTCATTCAGGTTGGTGGCAAATCCTGGAAATATCTCAAAATGTGTCCTGCTGGCTTATAAAAGTCAACCACGGTGGTGTCCAGTGCCCGTACACACACATACACACACACACACACACCACAAATTCTACCTGAAAGGCAAGATACATTACTGTTAAAGTTAGTAGGTTATCACAAGGTATAGACAGACTTTCTTAGTCTATTAAGCACCTAGACACAGGGCAAGGTGCTTTTAACTAAAGGATAAAGTACCTGCCTTCAATAATCTTTCATTTAGTGCAAGAGACAAACAAGAAACAGGTATTATATAGGAGTGAGGCCAGGATGCAGAGGAACACAAAGAGGGTGCACCAACTCTGGCCTGGAGGAGAGGGAGTCAGGGAGGACTTTTCTAAAAAGGTGACATCTGCATTATTGAAAAGAAGTAAAACCTAGCCAAATGGGGGAGAATTCCAAACATAGGAAATGACAAACAGCAGGTCCTCAAATAATGTTCATTATAACATTGATTAGAAAAAACTTGATTCCCTGTTGGGGCCACTGCTGTGTGGAGTGTGCATGCTCTCCCCGTGTCTGCGTGGGTTTCCTCCAGGTATTCTGGTTTCCTCTCACATCCCAAAGCTGTGCACTTGAAGTTCATTGGTGTGTCTGCGTGGTCTCAGTTGGAATGAGTGTGGGTGTGAATGTCAGTGTGCCCTACAATGGGATGGCGTCCTGTCCAGGGTAGGCTCCTGCCTTGAGCCCTGAGCTGCCAAAATGGGCTCTGGCCAACCACAACCCTGAACTGGAATAAGCAGGTTAGAAAATGAATGAATGGATGGATGAATACAAACTATTGTAAAATAAAAATTTGTAAAGTAGACAAGAGTATGACATGACAATAAACAATGCTGTAGGAAAGCGCTCAGCCGCCATATTTGTGATTGTTGAGTTTTGAACTGTGTGATAGTAGGAGGTGTTTCTTAACAATTTGGCAAACATTAATGTCTTGATTTAACCCACCATCACTATGATAACCCTCACTCACGGATTCACCAAGAGTTGGGTCAATAATTACCTTACTTGTAAGCCACCATGACTAGCCCTAAGAGTTCTTTATATTCTAGATACAAGTCCTTTATCAAACATGATTTACAAGGATTTTCTCCCATTCTGTGAATTGTCTTCTCAGGTTCTTCATGATACCCTTAAAGCACAGAAGTTTTACATTTTTATGAATTCCTAATTACCTGTTTTTTTCCTTTGGTTCTGTGTGCTTTGGGTGCCGTATCAAGGAAACCATTGCCAAATCCAAACTGTTTTTTTCCTATGAGTATTATAGTGTTCGCTCTTACATTTAAGCCCTTGGTCTACTTTGAGTTTATATTTGGTCTATATTTGCAGTGAGTTCATTTTGTGGTAGGGGTCCAAATGGATTCTTTTCTTTCTGGAGATCTAGTTGTCCCAGCATAATTTGCTGAAAAGACTGTTGTTTCCCCCATTGAATTGTTTTGGAACTTTTGTTGAAAGTCAGTTAAGAGTGAATGTGACAGTATATTTCTGGATTTTTAAATTCTATTCCATTGCCCTACATATTCATCCTTATGCCAATACCACACTTCTCCCATGGGTCTCTGCAACCCACAATCAGGAGATGCCCTTATGAGCCCATGCCACCAGGGCCTTGGGTCCAATACACACAGCTGTGTGGAGTCTCGGCAGAGCAGCCACTCAGGCACACGCAGAGGCCCAGGAGTTTTACATACTGTGGACCCAGGACCCCTGCCAAGGTGGAAAATTTGTCCGTACATATCCCTAGGAAGGGGGCTGAATCCAGGGAGCCAAGCAGCATTGTTCTGTGGGCCCCAATTCCACAGCAACTAAGGAAAAATTCTAGAAAAATATAAATCGTCAAAATTGACCCAAAAAATACATATAGAACTTGAGTAATGTTTTAACTGAAAAGAAACAATTATTATTTAACAATCATTGAGGAAGGGAAGAGAGCACTAGCACAGATAATTCCAATCCTAAACAGTGAGATGAAGTTATTAGCATACTGAAATTCAGGCAAGAGCTATATAAGAAAGGAAAATCACAAGCTAATCTTATTCGTGAATGTAGATGCCAAATCCTGAATAGAATATTATCAAATAAATTTAGCAATAGGCCAGGCATAGTGGCTCACACCTTTAATCCCAGCACTTTGGGAGGCCAAGGCAGGAGGATTGCTTGAGGCCAGGAGTTTCAGACCAGTCTGGGAAACATAGAGAGACCCCATCTCTATACAAAAATTAAAAATTAGCCAAGTGTAGTGGCATGCACCTGTAGTCCTAGCTACTTGGGAGGCTGAGGCAGGAGGATTGCTCAAGCCCAGGAATTTGAGGCCACAGTGAGCTATGATCATGCCACTGTACTCCAGCCTAGGTAATAGAGTGAGACCTTGTCTCTAAATACATAAATAAATAAATCCAGTAATATATATGAAAAATAAATGATATATGATCAAGTTGATTTATACCAGAAGTGCAAGTTCAGTATCATATTTTTAAATGTTTTAATGTAATTTATTACATTAATAGCTTAAAGGAGTAAAATTAGATGATCATCTCAAGAGGGAAAAAATAAAGCTTTATTTCAAAATGTTTTTTACTTCCTGCTTTCCTCGGCTTAGTAAAAAATAAAATAAATTTTTTTAACCTCATATTGTACATAAAAATAATCTCAGATGAATTAAATATGTACATTTGAAAGGCTAAACTGAAAAAAATTAGAAATATAGAATATCTTTATTGTCTCAGGATACTGAAGGATTTCTACAACAATTCAAAAGTTACTCAAACTATACGAGTAAACATTTGATAAATTCAGCTCATTGATGAATACATGACCTGATGTTCAGCCTCATTAGTAATCAAAGAAAAATATTAATAGCCTAATGAGATCCATTTTACACATACCAGATTGATAAATATATTAAAGTTTTAGAAAGTCATTGGTGAGACTGTCAACATTAGATCAACGAGACAGAAAGTCAACAAGGATACCCAGGAATTGAACTCAGCTCTGCACCAAGCAGACCTAATAGACATCTACAGAACTCTCCACCCCAAATCAACAGAATATACATTTTTTTCAGCACCACACCACACCTATTCCAAAATTGACCACATACTTGGAAGTAAAGGTCTCCTCAGCAAATGTAAAAGAACAGAAATTATAACAAACTGTCTCTCAGACCACAGTGCAATCAAACTAGAACTCAGGATTAAGAATCTCACTCAAAACCGCTCAACTACATGGAAACTGAACAACCTGCTCCTGAATGACTACTGGGTACATAACAAAATGAAGGCAGAAATAAAGATGTTCTTTGAAACCAATGAAAACAAAGACACAACATACCAAATCTCTGGGATGCATTCAAAGCAGTGTGTAGAGGGAAATTTATAGCACTAAATGCCCACAAGAGAAAGCAGGAAAGATCCAAAATTGACACCCTAACATCACAATTAAAAGAACTAGAAAAGCAAGAGCAAACACATTCAAAAGGTAGCAGACGGCGAGAAATAACTAAAATCAGAGCAGAACTGAAGGAAATAGAGACACAAAAAACCATTCAAAAAATTAACGAATACAGGAGTTGGTTTTTTGAAAGGATCAACAAAATTGATAGACCACTAGCAAAACTAATAAAGAAAAAAAGAGAGAAGAATCAAATAGACGCAATAAAAAATGATAAAGGGGATATCACCACCGATCCTACAGAAATACAAACTACCATCAGAGAATACTACAAACAACTCTACGCAAATGAACTAGAAAATCTAGAAGAAATGGATAAATTCCTCGACACATACACTCTCCCAAGACTAAACCAGGAAGAAGCTGAATCTCTGAATAGACCAATAACAGGAGCTGAAATTGTGGCAATAATAAGTAGCTTACCAACCAAAAAGAGTCCAGGACCAGATGGATTCACAGCCGAATTCTACCTGAGGTACAAGGAGGAACTGGTACCATTCCTTCTGAAACTATTCCAATCAGTAGAAAAAGAGGGAATCCTCCCTAACTCACTTTATGAGGCCAGCATCATTCTGATACCAAAGCCGGGCAGAGACACAACCAAAAAAAGAGAATTTTAGACCAATATCCTTGATGGACATTGATGCAAAAATCCTCAATAAAATACTGGCAAACTGAATCCAGCAGCACATCAAAAAGCTTATCCACCATGATCGAGTGGGCTTCATCCCTGGGATGCAAGGCTGATTCAATATACGCAAATCAATAAATGTAATCCAGCATATAAACAGAACCAAAGACAAAAACCACATGATTATCTCAATAGATGCAGAAAAGGCCTTTGACAAAATTCAATAACCCTTCATGCTAAAAACTCTCAGTAAATTAGGTATTGATGGGACGTATCTCAAAATAATAAGAGCTATCTATGACAAAGCCACAGCCAATATCATACTGAATGGGCAAAAACTGGAAGCATTCCCTTTGAAAACTGGCACAAGACAGGGATGCCCTCTCTCACCACTCCTATTCAACATAGTGTTGGAAGTTCTGGCCAGGGCAATTAGGCAGGAGAAGGAAATAAAGGGTATTCAATTAGGAAAAGAGGAAGTCAAATTGTCCCTGTTTGCAGATGACATGATTGTATATCTAGAAAACCCCATCGTCTCAGCCCAAAATCTCCTTAAGCTGATAAGCAACTTCAGCAAAGTCTCAGGATACAAAATCAATGTACAAAAATCACAAGCATTCTTATACACCAACAACAGACAAACAAAGAGCCAAATCATGAGTGAACTCCCATTCACAATTGCTTCAAAGAGAATAAAATACCTAGGAATCCAACTTACAAGGGATGTGAAGGACCTCTTCAAGGAGAACTACAAACCACTGCTCAATGAAATAAAAGAGGATACAAAGAAATGGAAGAACATTCCATGTTCATGGGTAGGAAGAATCAATATCGTGAAAATGGCCATACTGCCCAAGGTAATTTACAGATTCAATGCCATCCCCATCAAGCTACCAATGACTTTCTTCACAGAATTGGAAAAAACTACTTTAAAGTTCATATGGAACCAAAAAAGAGCCCGCATCTCCAAGTCAATCCTAAGCCAAAAGAACAAAGCTGGAGGCATCACACTACCTGACTTCAAACTATACTACAAGGCTGCAGTAACCAAAACAGCATGGTATTGGTACCAAAACAGAGATATAGATCAATGGAACAGAACAGAGCCCTCAGAAATAACGCTTCATATCTACAACCATCTGATCTTTGACAAACCTGAGAAAAACAAGCAATGGGGAAAGGATTTCCTATTTAATAAATGGTGCTGGGAAAACTGGCTAGCCATATGTAGAAAGCTGAAACTGGATCCCTTCCTTACACCTTATACAAAAATCAATTCAAGATGGATTAAAGACTTAAACATTAGACCTAAAACCATAAAAACCCTAGAAGAAAACCTAGGCATTACCATTCAGGACATAGGCGTGGGCAAGGACTTCATGTCTAAAACACCAAAAGCAATGGCAACAAAAGACAAAATTGACAAATGGGATGTAATTAAACTAAAGAGCTTCTGCACAGCAAAAGAAACTACCATCAGAGCGAACAGGCCACCTACAAAATGTGAGAAAATTTTCACAACCTACTCATCTGACAAAGGGCTAATATCCAGAATCTACAATGAACTCAAACAAATTTACAAGAAAAAAACAAACAACCCCATCAAAAAGTGGGCAAAGGAAACGAACAGACACTTCTCAAAAGAAGACATTTATGCAGCCAAAAACCACATGAAAAAATGCTCACCATCACTGGCCATCAGAGAAATGCAAATCAAAACCACAATGAGATACCATCTCACACCAGTTAGAATGCCAATCATTAAAAAGTCAGGAAACAACAGGTGCTGGAGAGGATGTGGAGAAATAGGAACACTTTTACACTGTTGGTGGGACTGTAAACTAGTTCAACCATTGTGGAAGTCAGTGTGGCGGTTCCTCAGGGATCTAGAACTAGAAATACCATTTGACCCAGCCATCCCATTACTCGGTATATACCCAAAGGACTATAAATCATGCTGCTATAAAGACACATGCACACGTATGTTTATTGCGGCATTATTCACAATAGCAAAGACTTGGAACCAACCCAAATGTCCAACAATGATAGACTGGATTAAGAAAATGTGGCACATATACACCATGGAATATTATGCAGCCATAAAAAATGATGAGTTCATGTCCTTTGTAGGGACATGGATGAAATTGGAAATCATCATTCTCAGTAAACTATCGCAAGAACAAAAAACCAAACACTGCATATTCTCACTCATAGGTGGGAATTGAACAATGAGAACACATGGACACAGGAAAGGGAACATCACACTCTGGGGACTCTTTTGGAGTGGGGGGAGGGGGGCGGGATAGCTCTGGAAGATATACCTAATGCTAGATGATGAGTTAGTGGGTACAGCACACCAGCATGGCACATGTATACATATGTAACTAACCTGCACATTGTGCACATGTACCCTAAAACTTAAAGTATAATAATAATAAATAAAATATAATAAAATAAAAAAGAAAGTCATTGGTGAGGATACGCAACAATGAAACACTAATGTGGATTGCTGATGGAAGTGTAAATTGGCACAACCAATTTGAAAGAATTTTACATTATCAGGCAAAGTTAAAGATGCACATACCCCATGGTTACAAGCTCAATACCACTGTATACCCTAGAGAAATCCATGCACAGTTACCTCAGGAGATGTGTAAAATAATATTCGTAGCAGCATTGTTTGCAATTGCAAAAAAAGAAGAAGAAAGAAACTTTAATTTCCACTCATGGAGAAATGTATAATGAAGACACCAAACATATACTTATTAGTTTTGGTTTAACTGTAAGTAACAGAAAACTTGATTAATAATGGCTTAACAACAAAAAAAATTTTTTTCTGCTACTTAAGAAGCCTAGAAGTAGCCAGTGGTTAAGGCCGTAGGCTTTTTCCAACCTTCTTCTCCACCATCCTCAGAGTGTTGGCCTCATCTGTGGCCTCATGGTCACAAGATGGCTGCTGAAGCTCTAACAGCACAAGTCTGCACTCAATGTGAGAAAGGCAGGTGACAGTGAGTGGGTAGCCAACGTAGCAAAGAGGACCTTTTCCTTAATGGTGCTATCCTTTTGTCAGGAAAGTGTGGTGACACATGCCTGTAATCCCAGCATTGGGAGGCTGAGGTGGGCAGACTGCCTGAGCTCAGGAGTTAAGACCAGCATGGGCAATATGACAAAACCCTGCCTCTATGCACAAAATACAAAAATTAGCCAGGCATGGTGGCACACACCTGTAGTCTCAGCTACTGGGGAGGCTGAGGTAGGAAGAATGCCCAAGCCCAGGAGTTTGAGGCTGCAGTAAGCTATGATTGGGCCACTACACTTCAACCTGGGTGACAATGAGACCCTGTATCAAAAAGAAAAAAAAAAAAGGAAAAGAAAATAATTTCTTACATGTCCTTGTATATCTCATTGGCCACAGTGGGTTATATGGCCAATTCTAGCTACAAGAGAGACTAGAAAAAAAATATCTGGCTTTTCCAGCCTATACAATGGGAGGCTAGCAAGGATAAGGCAGTGCTTTTCAGTGGTGCTCACCAGTTTCTACCACAACAAAATCACCTGTGATTCAACCAATAGATTGGCTTAGTCTTTTTCTTTTTTTTTTTTTTTTTAGACAGGTTCTCACTCTGTCACCCAGGCTGGAGTGCAGTGGCATGACCACAGCTCACCACAACCTCAAACTCCTAGGTATCGGGGGAACCTGCCCCCGCTAGTCACATAGGTTCTTTTCTATTTTCCCTAAGTGTCAGCCAGCCTGAGAAATAAAGGGAAAGAGTACAAAAGAGAGAAATTTTAAAGCTGGGTATCCGGGGGAGACATCACATGTCAGCAGGTTCCGTGATGCCCCCCAAGCCACAAAACCAGCAGGTTTTTATTAGTGATTTTCAAAAGGGGAGGGAGTGTATGAATAGGGTGTGGGTCACAAAGATCACATGCTTCACAAGGTAATAAGATGTCACAAGGCAAATGGAGGCAGAGTGAGATCACAGGACCACAGGACCGGGGCAAAATTAAAAATACTAATGAAGTTTCATGTCCAACTGGGCACGCATTGTCATTGATAACATCTTATCAGGAGACAGGGTTTGAGAGCAGACAACCAGTCTGATCAAAATTTATTAGGGGGTAATTTCCTCGTCCTAATAAGCCTGGGAGCGCTACAGGAGACTGGGGCTTATTTCATCCCTACAGCTGCAACCGTAAAAGAGAGCCTCCCCTGAAGCAGCCATTTCAGAGGCCTTCCCTCAGGGACGCATTCTCTTTCTCAGGGATGTTCCTTGCTGAGAAAAAGAATTCAGCGATATTTCTCCCATTTGCTTTTGAAAGAAGAGAAATATGGCTCTGTTCCGCCCGGCTCAGCGGCAGTCAGAGTTTAAGGTTATCTCTCTTGTTCCCTGAACATTGCTGTTATCCTGTTCTTTTTTCAAGGTGCCCAGATTTCATATTGTTCAAACACACATGCTGTACAAACAATTTGTGCAGTTAATGCAATCATCACAGGGTCCCGAGGCAACATACATCCTCCTCAGCTTACGAAGATGACGGGATTAAGAGATTAAAATAAAGACAGGGATAGGAAATCACAAGCGTATTGATTGGGAAAGTGATGTGTCCATTAAATCTTCAGAATTTATGTTCAGAGATTGCAGTAAAGACAGGTGTAAAAAATTATAAAAGTATTAATTTGGGGAACTAATAAATGTCCATGAAATCTTCACAATTTATGTTCTTCTGCCGTGGCTTCAGCTGGTCCCTCCGTTCAGGGTCCCTGACTTCCCGCAACACCTAGGCTCTAGCAGTCCTCCCATCTCAGCCTCCCAAGTGGGATGTGTCACCATGCCTGGCCAATTTTTCCACTTTCTGTAAAGACAGGGTCTCACCCTGTTGCCCAAGCTGGTCTTTATTTTTTCTCTTCAACTTTTAAGTTCAGGGATACAGCAAGTGTGTTACATAGGTAACATGTGCCATGGTGGTTTGCTGCACAGATCATCCCATCAGCCAGGTGTTACACCCAGCATCCATTAGCTATTCTTCCTGATGCTCTCCCTTTCCCCATTCCCCCCAACCAGCAGGTTCCCTGCATATGTTGTTCCCACTCACCCCACCATGTGTCCATGTGTTCTCATCATTCAGCTCCCAATTATAAGTGAGAACATGCAGTGTTTGGCTTTCTGTTCCTGCATTAGTTTGCTGAGCATAATGGCTTCCAGCTCCATCCATACCCCTGGTGTAAACATGCTAAAAATGTATACACTATACAACAGTAAAAATATACAAAGCAACACTAATCAGTATGAATGAATCTCACAAGCATAATATGGAATGATAAAAGCAAATCATAGAGGAAAGGTAAAGTGTAATTCCATTTATATAAAGTACAAAACTAGAAAAATTAAATAGTACATTGTTTAGTACTGGGTAAACTAGTTTTTTTAAATTTTTAAATTTTTAATTTTTGTGGGTACATAGTAGGTATATATATTTTGTGGGTTTATGAGATTATGATATAGGCATACAATGTATAATAATCATATCAGGGTAAGTGGGGTATCCATCACCTTAAGCATTTATTCTTTGTGTTACAGTCTAATTATACTCTTTTAGTTATTTTTAAACATCCAATTAAATTATTATCGACTATAGTCACCCAGTTGTGACATCAAATACATCTTATTCTATTTTTTTGAACCCATTAACCATACCTACTCTCCCCCACAACAATCCCCCACCACACACACACACACACACACACACACACACACACACACACTCTACTCTTTCCAGCCCCTGGCAACCATCATTCTACTCTCTATGTCCAAGAGTTCAATTGTTTTAATTTTTAGCTCCCACAAATAAGTGAGAATATGGTGAAGTTTGTCTTTTTGTGCCTGGCTTATTTCACTTAGCATAATGGCCTCCAGTTCTACCCATATTGTTGCACGTGACAGGATCTCATTCTTTTTTATGGCTAAATAGTACTCCATTGTGTATATGTGCCACATTTTCTTTATCCATTCACCTGTTGATGGACACTTAGGTTGTTTCCAAATCTTGACTATTATGAATTATGCTGCAATAAACATGGGAGTAGATATCTCTTCAATATATTGAATTCCTTTCTTTTGGGTGTATACCTAGCACTGGGATTGCTGGATCATATGGTAGTTCTATTTTTAGCTTTTTGAGGAACTTCCAAAATGTTCTCCATAGTGGTTATACTAATTTACATTCCCACCCACAGCATACAGGGGCTCCCTTTCTCCAGCATTTGTTATTGCCTGTCTTTTGGATGAAATCCATCTTAACTGGGGTGAGATGATATTTCATTCTAGTTTTGATTTGCATTTCTCTAATGATCAGTGATGTTGAGCACCTTTTCATATACCTATTTACCATTTTTATGTCTTCACCTAAGAAATGTCTATTTAGATCTTTTGCCCATTTTTATTTGGATTATTATATTTTTTTCCTATAGTGTTGTTTGAGCTCTTTATATATTCTGGTTATTAATCCCTTGTCAGATGGATAGTTTGCAAATATTTTCCCCCATTCTGTGGATTGTCTCTTCAATTTTTTGATTGTTTCCTTTGCTGTGCGGAAGCTTTTTATTTTATTTTTTATTTTTATTTTTTGAGTCTCACTTTGTAGAAGCTTTTTAACTTGATGTGATTCTACTTGTCCATTTTTGCTTTGGTTGCCTGTGCTTATGGGATATTGCTCAAGAAATCTTTGCCCACTCCAATGTTCTGGAGAGTTTCCTAAATGTTTTCTTTTAGTAGTTTTATAGTTTGAGGTTTTAGACTTAAGTCTTTAATTCACTTGTTTTTTGTATATGGCAAGAGATAGGGGTCTAGTTTCATTCTTCTGCATACTGATATATAGTTTTCCCAGCACCATTTTTGTTTTTGAGACAAGAGTTTCACTCTTGTCACCCAGGCTGAAGTGCAATGGCATGATCTTGGCTCACTGCAACCTCCACCTCCCATGTTCAAGCAATTCTCCTGCCTCAGCCTCCGAGTAGCTGGGATTACAAGTGTGTGCCCACCACGCCCGTGTAACTTTTGTATTTTTCAGTAGAGATGGGGTTTCCCCATGTTGGCCAGGCTGGTCTTGAACTCCTGACCTCAGGCAGTCCCCACCAGCTCAGCCTCCCAAATTGCTGGGATTACAGGTGTGAACCACTGCGCCCAGCCCCCAGCACCATTTCTTGAAGAGACTGTCCTTTCCCCAATATATGTGCTTACTACCTTTCTCAAAAATGAGTTCACTGTAGATGTATTGATTTGTCTCTGGGTTCTCTGTTCTCTTCCATTGGTCTATGTGTCTGTTTCTATGCCAGTACCATGCTGTTTTGGTTACTGTAGCTCTGTGGTATAATTTGAAGTCAGGTAATGTGATTCATCCAGTTTTGTTCATTTTGTTTAGGATAGCTTTGGCTATTCTGGGTCTTTGGTGGGTTCTGTAAAAATTTTAGGATTTTTTTTTCCTATTTCTGTAAAGAATGTCTTTGGTATTTTGATAAGGATTGCATTGAACCTGTAGATTGCTTTGGGTAGTGCAGACATTTTAACAATATTGAATCTTCCAATCCATGAACATGGAATGTTTTCCTTTTTTGTGTCCTCTTTAGTTGTTGCATCAATATTTTATAGTTTTCATTGCAGAGATCTTTCAATTCTTTGGTTAATTCCTATGTATTGAGTTTTATTTGTACCTATTGTAAATAGGATTACTTTTTTATTTCTTTTTCAGATTGTTTGCTCTTGGCATATAGAAATGCTACTGATTTTTATATGTTGATTTTGTATCCTACAACTTTTCTGAATTTATATATCAGTTCTAATAGTTTTTTGATAGAGACTTTATGTTTTTCCAAATATAAGATTATATCAGCCAGGCACAGTGGCTCACGCCTGTAATCCCAGCACTCTGGGAGGCCGAGGCAGGCAGATCACCAGGTCAGGAGTTTGAGACCAGCCTGACCAACATGCTGAAATCCCATCTCTACTAAAAATAAAAAAAATTTAAAAAAAGCCGGGTGTGGTGGCATGTGCCTGTCATCCCAGCTACTCAGGAGGCCGAGGCAGGAGAATCGCTTAAATCCAGGAGGCGGAGGTTGCAGTGAGGAGAGATAGAGCCACTGCACTCCAGCCTGGGCAACAGAGGGAGACTCAGTCTCAAAAAAAAAAAAAAAAAAAAAAAAGATTGTATCTTCTGCAAGCAAGGATGATTTGATTTCTTCCATCCCAATCTGGATGCCCTTCATATCTTTCTCTTGTCTAATTGCTCTAGCTAGGACTTCCAGTACTGTTGAATAACAGTAGTGAAAGTGGATATACTTGTGTTCCAGATCTTAGAGGAAAAGCTTTTAGTTTTTCCCCATTTAGTATGATACTAACTGTGGATCTATCATATATGGCTTTTATCATGTTGAAGTATGTTCCTTCTATACCCAGTTTTTAAAATTTTTTTTTTGTCATGAAGTGATGTTGAATTTTATCAAATGCTTTTCGGTATTAATTGAAATGATCATATGGCTTTTATACTTCATTCTGTTGATATAATGTATCACATTGGTTGATTTGCATATGTTGAACCATCCTTGCATCCCTTGGATAAATCCCACTTGGTCATAATGAATGATATTTCTAATCTGTCATTGAATTCGGTTTGTTACCATTTTGTCTTAGATTTTTGCATTAGTCTTCATCAGGGATATTGACCTGCAGTTTTCTTTGTTTGATATGTCTTTTTCTGGATTTGGTATCAAGGTAATACTGGCCTCATAGAATGAGTTTCAAAGTATTCCCACCTCTTCTATTTTTGGGGATAGTTTGAGTCAGATTGGTATTAGTTCTTTAAATGTTTGCTGAAATTCAGCAATGAAGCCATCAGGTCCTGGGCTTTTCTTTGCTGGGAGACTTTTTACTATGGCTTCAATCTCATTACCTGTTATTGGTCTGTTTAAATCTTAGATTTCTTCATGGTTCAATCTTGGTAGGTTGTATGTGTCTAGGAATGTATCCATTTCTTCTAGGATTTCCAATTTATTGGCATATAGTTGCTCATAGTAGCCTCTAATGATCCTTTGAATTTCTGTGGCATTGGTAGTCTTCTTTTTCATCCCCAATTTTATTTATTTGAGTCTTCTCTCTTTTTTTCTTAGTTTACTGATTTTATTTATCTTTTCAAAAAACAAATTTTTCATTTCATTGATCTTTTGTATTGCCTTCTTCATTTCAATTTAATTTATCTCTGCTCTGATCTTTGTTATTTCTTTTCTTCCACTAATTTTGGGTTTGGTTTGCTCTTGCTTTTCTAGTTTTTTAAGATGTATCATTAGGTTGTTTATTTGATGTTTTTCTACTATTTTTGTTATAGGCACTTATAGCTATAAACTTCTCTCAGTACTGCTTTTGCTGTATTCCCTAGGTTTTGTTATGTGTTATGTTTCTCTTATCATTTGGTTCAAGAAATATTTCAAATCCTTCTTTCATCCGTGCCTGTTGTCTGAACTGTAATTGCCTGCCCTTCAATTCCCTCTTAATTTCTTCACTGACCCACTGGTCATTCAGGAGCGTATTGTTTAAATTTGATGTGTTAGAATAGTTATCAAAATTCCTCTTGTTATTGACTTCTAGTTTTATTCCATTGTGGTCAGAGAAGGTACTTCATATTTGAATTTTTTTAATGTTTTAAGACTTGTTTTGTGGTCTAATATATGGTCTATCCTTGAGAATGATCCATGAGTTCAGGAGAAGAATGTGCACTCTATATCTATTGAATAAAATGCTCTGTAAGTATCTCTTAGGTCCATTTGGTCTGTAGTGGAGATTAAGTCCAGTGTTTGTTGATTTTCTGTCTGGATAATCTGTCCCATGTTAAAAGTGGGATGTTGAAGTGTCTGGCTATTATTGTATTGGGGTCTCTCTCTCTCTTTAGCTCTAATAATATTTGCCTTATATGTCTGGGTGCTTCATTGTCAGTTGCATATATATTTACAATAAAGTTATGCCCTCTTGCTGAATTGACCCCTTTATCATTATGTAATAACCTTATTTGTCTCTTTTTGTGGTTTTTGTCTTGAAATCTATTTTGTCTGATATAAGTATAGCTACTCCTCCTATTTTGTGCTTTCCATTTGCATTGAATATATTTTTCCATTCTTTTATTTTCAATTTATTCATGTCTTTATAGGTTAAGCATATTTCTTTTAGGTAACAGATTGTTGGGTCTTGTTTTTTAATCCGTTCAGCCACTGTATGTCTTTTGATTGGAGAGTTTAGTCCATTTACATCCAGTGTTATTATTGATAAGTAAGGATGTACTCCTGTGATTTTGTTATTTGTTTTATGGTTGTTGTGTGGTCTTCTCTTCCTTCTTTTCTTCCTTTCTGTCTTCCTTTCAGTGAAGGTGATTTTCTCAGGTGGTATGTTTTAATTTCTTGGTGCTTTTTATTTTTTGTGTAGCTGTTGTATGTTATTTAAGACTACCATGAAGCTTGCAAATAATTATAGCCCATTATTTTAAACTGATGACAACACTGATTGCCTAAACAAATGAGAAATTTGAAAAGAAAACTAATAAGCATTCTACACTTTAACCTTGTACCCCTGCTTTTAAACTTCTTGTTGTTCCTATTTACATCTTATTGTACTGTCCATGTCTTGAAAGTTGTGGTAGTTATTATTTTTGATTGGTTCATCTTTTAGCCTTTCTACTTAACATGTGAGTAATTTACACAGCAATTACAGTGTTTAATATCCTATGTTTTTCTGTGTACTTAAAATCAGCAGTGAGTTTTGTGCCTTCAGATGATTTCTGATTGCTCACTGTCTTTTTCTTTTAAATTCAATAACTCCCTTTAGCATTTCTTGTAGGACAGATCTTGTGTTGATGAAATCCCTCAGCTTTTGTTTGTCTGGGAACATCTTTATTTCTCCTTCATGTTTGAAGGATACTTTCACCAGATTTACTATTCTAGGGTACAAGATCTTTTTCCCTCAGCACTTTAAATATATCATGCCACTCTCTCCTTGCCTGTAAAGTTTCCACTGAAATGTCTGCTGCCAGACATATTGGACCTCCATTGTATGTTAGTTGTTTCTTTTCTCTTGCTGCTTTTAGGATCCTTTCTTTATCCTTCACCTTTATAGTAGTTTGATATTAAATGTCTTGAGGTAGTCTTCTTTGGGTTAACTCTGCTTGGTGTTCTGTAACCTTCTTGTACCGAATATTGATGTCCTTCTTGAGGTTTTGGAAGTTCTCTGTTATTATCTCTTTGAATAACCTTTCTACCCCTATCTCTGTCTCTACCTCCTCTTTTAGGCCCATAACTCTTAGATTTGCCCCGTTGAGGCTGTTTTCTAGATCTTGTAAGCATGCTTCATCCTTTTCTATTCTTTTTTCTATTGTCTTCTCTGATTGTGTATTTTCAAATAGCCTGTCTTCAAGCTTACTAATTCTTTGTTCTGCTTGATCAATTCTGCTATTAAGAGACTCCGATGCATTCTTCATTATGTCGATTGCATTTTTCAACTCCAGAATTTGTTTCTTTTTAATTACTTCAATCTCTTTTTTTAATTTATCTGATAGGATCCTGAATTCCTTCTCTGTGTTATCTTGAATTTATCTGAGTTTCCTCAAAATAGCTATTTTGAATTCTGTGTTAGAAAGACCACATATCTCTTTCTCTCTGTGATAGGTCCCTGTTGCCTTACTTACTTCATTTGATGAAGTCATGTCTTACCGGATGGTCTTGATGCCTGTGGTTGTTCACTGGTGTCTAGACATTGAAGAATTAGGTGTTTATTGTCGACTTCACAGTCTGAGGTTGTCTTTACCTATCCTTCTTGGGAAGGCTTTCCAGGTATTCTAAGGGACTTGGGTGTTGTGATCTAAGTTTTTGGTCACTGCAGCCATATCTGCATTAGGGGGCACCCCAAGCCCAGTAATGCTATGACTCTTGGTGGTCTTGGAAAAAATCTGGAAAAATTCTCTGAATTACCAGGCAAACACTCTTGTTCTCTTCTCTTACTTTCTGCCAAACAAACAGAATCTCTCTCTCTCTCTCAGTGCTGAGCTGCCTGGAGCTGGGGGAGGGGTGACACAGCGCCCCTGTGGACACTGCCACTGGGACTGCACTGGGTCAGACCTGAATCTTGCATAGCACTGGATCTCACCCAAGGCCCGCTGTAACCTGGCTACCACCTATGTTCACTCAAGGCCCTAGGGCTCTACAACCAGCAGGTGGTGAAGCCAGCCAGTCTTGTGTCTTTCCCTTAAGGGCTGCAAGTTCCCCCAGGCCCCATGTGGGTCCAGAGGTACCATCTGGGAGCCAAAGCCTGGAGTCAGAAACCTTAGAAATCTACCTGGTGCTCTATTTTTCTGCAGCTGAACTGGCACTCAAACCACAAGACATAGCCCTTTCCACTCCTCTCTTTCCTTTTCACAGACAGCGGAGTCTTTCCCTGTGGCCACCACCACCACAGGCCCGCAGTGAGTGCTGTCAGGCTACCATTAATGTTCACTTAAGGACCAAAGGCTTTTTAGTCAGCTTGTGGTGAATGCTGCCAGGCTGGGGACTCACCTTTCAGGGCAGTTGGTTCCCCTCTGGCCCAAGTCAAGTCTAAAAATGCTGCAAATGCTGTCCAAGAACCAATGCCGGGAACTGGGGACCCTAAGAGGCTGCTTGGTACTCTACTCCACTGTGGCCAAGCTGGTACCTAAGCTGCAAGACAAAGTCCCTTTTACTCTTCCTTCTGCTTTTCTCAAGCAGAAGGAGTCTCTCTTTGTAGCTGCCACAGCTGGGAATGTGCTGGGTCACACATGAAGCTGGCACATCTCAGAGTCTCATCCAATGCCATGGTGTGTACTGCTTAGCTACCTCTGCTGTTTATTCAGGGCCCAAGAGCTGGTGATGAATCCTGCCAGGACTGGGTCCTTCTCTTCAAGGCAGCAGGTTTCTTTCTGGCCCAGGGTGTGTCTGGAAATGTCGTCTAGGAACTAGGGCCTGGCATGGGGGCCTCAGGACTGCCCAGTGCCCTTTCTGCTGTGGCTGAGCTGATATCCAAGTTGCAAGACAAAGCCCTTTGTATGCTTCCCTCTCCTCTCCTCAAGCAGAAGGAAGGAGTCTCTTTCATAGCTGTGAGCTGTGCTGCCTAGTGTTGGGGAGGGGTGGCACAAGCACTCCATTAGCTACCCAGGGTAGTGTCTCACTAGGTTGAATGCCACCCCTGTCCACTGTCTCTGAGCCCAGTACAGCACTAGATCTTGCCTAGGAGTTGCAGTCTCTGTGGCCTAGACTATCTTTCAAGTTTATTTCGGACTCCAGAGAACTTTAGCCTGTGATGGCAAGGTCTGCCAAAACCCATGTTCCCACCATGAGGATGGGCAATTCCCTCTGACTAGGGCTGCTCAAAATGTTCCCTCTGCGGGCGTCATCTGAGTTCTGCCTGGTGTTGCTTTCCGCTGTGACAGGGCAGCACTGAATTCCGACGGAAAGTCCCACAATCACTGCACTCTGTCTCCCCAAAGCACACAGATTCGTTGTCTGCACTATGCAGCCACTACCGAGATGGGGAAGGGGTGACGTTGGCAACTCAAGACTGTCTTTCCCACCGTCTTCAGTGTCTGTTTCCTTGATATGATGTTAAAACTAGATACTGTGATTACTCACTTGATTTTTGGCTCTTATGAAGTTGCTTTTTTGGGTAGATAGTTGTTAAATTTCATGTTCCTATGGAGAAGAAGATTGGTGGAGGCTTCTATTCACTCATCCTGTTCTGCCTCCATCCTCAAACTAGTTTTTTAAAGCATGTGAATTGACTTTTGTATGGACTTTGTATCCTGCAGGTATAATTTTTATTAGTTCCAGGAGTTTTTTTTTTTTCTGTTCTTTAAGATTTTCTAAACAGTCATTTATGTCATCTGCAAACAAAAACCAGTTTTATTTATACCATCCCAATGTGAATGCCTTTTATTTCACTTTCTCATGTTAGCTAGCATTTCCAGTGCTAAGTTGAGTAGAAATAATGAGAGGAGACATCCTTGTCGTGTAGGCAATCTTAGGAGGAGAGCATCTAGTTTCTCACTGTCAAGTTTTTGTATGCTTTCTTTAGACTCTCTTTATCAAGTTTAAGAAGGTCCCCTCTGTTGCTAGTTTGCTTTGAGTTTTTAGCATGAATGAGTGTTGACTTTGTCAAATGCTTTTCTTGCATCTACTATATGATTTTTCTTCTTTAGCCTGTTAATTTGGTGGATTATATTAATTGATTTTTGAATTTTGGACCAGCCGTGCATACCTGGAGTAAATCTCATTTAGTCATGGTGTGCAATTCTTTTTACCCATTGTTGGATTTAAAAGGTCTGTAGCTTTCCTTTCTTGTGATGTCTTTGTCTGGTTTTGGTTATTAGGGCAATGCTGGCTGGCTTCATAGAATGAGTTGGGAAAAATTCCCTCTGCTTCTATTGGAAGAGTTTCTAGAGAATTAGCATTATTTGTTCCTTAAGTGTTAGCATTCACTAGTCTAAAAAGAAAGTCATTGGGCCTGGTGCTTTGTTTTGGAAGATTATTAATTATTTTTCCAGTTTATTTAATAGATACAGCTTTTTATGTGAATTTGACTTCTACTTTTAATTACATTGTGGTTTGAGACCATACTTTGTATGATTTCTATTCTTTTAAATTTTGTTAAGGTGCATTTTATGGCCCAGCATATGGTGCATCTTGGTGAATTCTTATGTGGGACTGAGAAAAATATGTATTCTCCTGTTGTTGGATAAAGTAGTCTATAAGTATCCATTAAATCTAGTTGATTGATTAGTATAGCTATGTCCTTACTGATTTTCTGCCTGCTGGATCTGTTAATTAATGATAGAGAGGTGTTGAAGTTGCAAGAGATAATAGTGGATTTTTCTATTTCTCTTTGCACTTCTATGTTAAGACATATATGTGGCAAAACTAGTTGTAAAAATGCATGGGAGGCCAGTCACAGTTGCTCAGACCAGTAATCCCAACACTTTGGGAGACCAAGGTGGGAGTATTGCTTGAGCCCAGGATTTCAAGGCCAGCCTGGGCAACATAATGAGACCCCCATCTCTTATTTTTAAAAAATCTTTTCAAAAGAAAAAAAGTTACACGGCTTATTGAAACTTAGTTAAATGAAGATAAATTAAAACATGGCAGATTAAGTACGTTTATTTATCTCTATTCTCTCCCAGAATCTTACCAAAATGACAGGGAGAAAAAAAATTTTTTAAGGTTACAAACCTATAAAGTCAAAAATTGGAAGGGAGGCAAGAACAAAAGACAGAAAACAGAGGGGGAAGTGGTAACTGAGTAGTGTTTAGCAATTCTGTTAAGTAAGTGCTTATAGAAGATAATTCTAATGCATCAGCAAGATGGTAGAATTGGAGTTCTCTGGCCCAACTCCCCACATCCCTAGAAATCCAGCTAGCAACTATCCACAAACAAGAATACCTTTGCCAATATCCAAGAACTCAGAAGTGAGGCTGAAACACCCCATTGGACTGCAGAACTAAGAAAAGCCATATTCAAAGGGTAAGAGAAATTGTTTCTCTTTGATCATGTTACGTGTCTCCCAAGCTACACAGTGCCACACACAGATTCCCCTAGGCCCACAGTTTCCCCCATGGGGAAAGATAGTGGAGCTGGATATTCAACTTTCCCAGCATTCTGGGACCCTTCACAGGAGGCTTAGTCGTGTCTCACCCCACAGGACACATTGGGAGTACCAGCAGGGCTAGACCACCTGGGATCAGTTAGAAATGAAGAACAGGGCCTGGAGCATACAGCAACCAGCACGTGATATTAGTAATGCCTCTGCATTCTGGCAAATGGGGCACCACACCAGAGGGACTAGCCAACAGCATCACTAGCCAACAGCATCACAAGAAACACGATCCATAGGTCAGCTGCACGTCGCTAGCCAGCTTCCCCATCTAGCCCCAGCATTCTCCTTAAACCTTCCCCAGGCCAGAAGGCAGGTGCAGGTCTGTGTTTTCCTCTGGAGGGAGCATCTGGCCCTACTCAACAGCAGAAGTAGAGCAGTGTTTTGAGATACGTCCCATCAATACCTAATTTATTGAGAGTTTTTAGCATGAAGGGTTGTTGAATTTTGTCAAAGGCCTTTTCTGCATCTATTGAGATAATCGTGTGGTTTTTGTCTTTGGTTCTGTTTATATGCTGGATTACATTTATTGATTTGCATATATTGAACCAGCCTTGCATCCCAGGGATGAAGCCCACTTGATCATGGTGGATAAGCTTTTTGATGTGCTGCTGGAATCGGTTTGCCAGTATTTTATTGAGGATTTTTGCATCAATGTTCATCAAGGATATTGGTCTAAAATTCTCTTTTTTGGTTATGTCTCTGCCCGCCTTTGGTATCAGAATGATGCTGGCCTCATAAAGTGAGTTAGGGAGGATTCTCTCTTTTTCTATTGATTGGAATAGTTTCAGAAGGAATGGTACCAGTTCCTCCTTGTACCTCAGGTAGAATTCGGCTGTGAATCCATCTGGTCCTGGACTCTTTTTGGTTGGTAAGCTATTGATTATTGCCACAGTTTCAGCTCCTGTTATTGGTCTATTCAGAGATTCAACTTCTTCCTGGTTTAGTCTTGGGAGAGTGTATGTGTCGAGGAATTTATCCATTTCTTCTAGATTTTCTAGTTTATTTGCGTAGAGGTGTTTGTAGTATTCTCTGATGGTAGTTTGTATTTCTGTGGGATTGGTGGTGATATCCCCTTTATCATTTTTTATTGCGTCTATTTGATTCTTCTCTCTTTTTTTCTTTGTTAGTCTTGCTAGTGGTCTATCAATTTTGTTGATCCTTTCAAAAAACCAGCTTCTGGATTCATTAATTTTTTTGAATGGTTTTTTGTGTCTCTATTTCCTTCAGTTCTGCTCTGATTTTAGTTATTTCTTGCTCAAAATAATAAGAGCTATCTATGACAAACTCACAGCCAATATCATACTGAATGGGCAAAAACTGGAAGCATTCCCTTTGAAAACTGGCACAAGACAGGGATGCCCTCTCTCACCACTCCTATTCAACATAGTGTTGGAAGTTCTGGCCAGGGCAATTAGGCAGGAGAAGGAAATAAAGGGTATTAAATTGGGAAAAGAGGAAGTCAAATTGTCCCTGTTTGCAGACGACATGATTGTATATCTAGAAAACCCCATTGTCTCAGCCCAAAATCTCCTTAAGCTGATAAGCAACTTCAGCAAAGTCTCAGGATACAAAATCAATGTACAAAAATCACAAGCATTCTTATACACCAATAACAGACAGAGAGCCAAATCATGAGTGAACTCACATTCACAATTGCTTCAAAGAGAATAAAATACCTAGGAATCCAACTTACAAGGGACGTGAAGGACCTCTTCAAGTAGAACTACAAACCACTGCTCAATGAAATAAAAGAGGATACAAACAAATGGAAGAACATTCCATGCTCATGGGTAGGAAGAATCAATATCATGAAAATGGCCATACTGCCCAAGGTAATTTATAGATTCAGGTGCCATCCCCATCAAGCTACCAATGACTTTCTTCACAGAATTGGAAAAAACTACTTTAAAGTTCATATGGAACCAAAAAAGAGCCTGCATCGCCAAGTCAATCCTAAGCCAAAAGAACAAAGCTGGAGGCATCACACTACCTGACTTCAAACTATACTACAAGGCTACAGTAACCAAAACAGCATGGTACAGCTACCAAAACAGAGATATAGATCAATGGAACATAACAGAGCCCTCAGAAATAACGCTGCATATCTACAACTATCTGATCTTTGACAAACCTGAGAAAAACAAGCAATGGGGAAAGGATTCCCTATTTAATAAATGGTGCTGGGAAAACTGGCTAGCCATATGTAGAAAGCTGAAACTGGATCCCTTCCTTACACCTTATACAAAAATCAATTCAAGATGGATTAAAGACTTAAACATTAGACCTAAAACCATAAAAACCCTGGAAGAAAACCTAGGCATTACCATTCAGGACATAGGCATGGGCAAGGACTTCATGTCTAAAACACCAAAAGCAATGGCAACAAAAGACAAAATTGACAAATGGGATGTAATTAAACTAAAGAGCTTCTGCACAGCAAAAGAAACTACCATCAGAGTGAACAGGCAACCTACAAAATGGGAGAAAATTTTCACAACTTACTCATCTGACAAAGGGCTAATATCCAGAATCTACAATGAACTCAAACAAATTTACAAGAAAAAAACAAACAACCCCATCAAAAAGTGGGCGAAGGACATGAACAGGCACTTCTCAAAAGAAGACATTTATGCAGCCAAAAAACACATGAAAAAATGCTCACCATCACTGGCCATCAGAGAAATGCAAATCAAAACCACAGTGAGATACCATCTCACACCAGTTAGAATGGCAATCATTAAAAAGTCAGGAAACAACAGGTGCTGGAGAGGATGTGGAGAAATAGGAACACTTTTACACTGTTGATGGGACTGTAAACTAGTTGAACCATTGTGGAAGTCAGTGTGGCGATTCCTCAGGGATCTAGAACTAGAAATACCATTTGACCCAGCCATCCCATTACTGGGTATATACCCAAAGGACTATAAATCATGCTGCTATAAAGACACGTGCACACGTATGTTTATTGCGGCACTATTCACAATAGCAAAGACTTGGAACCAACCCAAATGTCCAACGATGATAGACTGGATTAAGAAAATGTGGCACATATACACCATGGAATACTATGCAGCCATAAAAAATGATGAGTTCATGTCCTTTGTAGGGACATGGATGAAATTGGAAATCATCATTCTCAGTAAACTATCGCAAGAACAAAAAACCAAACACCGCATATTCTCACTCATAGGTGGGAATTGAACAATGAGAACACATGGACACAGGAAGGGGAACGTCACACTCTGGGGACTGTTGTGGGGTGGGGGGAGGGGGGAGGGATAGCATTGGGAGATATACCTAATGCTAGGTGATGAGTTAATGGGTGCAGCGCACCAGCATGGCACATGTATACATATGTAACAAACCTGCACATTGTGCACATGTACCCTAAAACATAAAGTATAAAAAAAAAAAAAAAAGTAGAGCAGTGTTCCAACCAAGCCCTGGTGCTTTCCTGAAGCCTTCCCCATACCAGGAGGCAAGTGTAGGTCAGCATTTAGCTGCATAGGGAGTATCTGGCCTCACACAACACCAACAGCTGAGTGGCGACTCTACCACGCCTTGATGCTGTGCTTTTCTGTTTTTAAATTTTAGATTCAAGGTGTATGTGTGTAGGTTTGTTACACGGATATATTGAGTAATGGTGATATTTGGGCATCTAGTGTACCCATTACCCAAATAGTGAACATTGTACTCAATAGGTAATTTTTTAACCCTCACTCCCCTCCCACCCTGTCCCTTTTTGGAGTCCCCACTGTCTATTATTTCCATCTTTATGTCCTTGTGTACCTGTTGTTTAGCTCCCACTTACTTATAAGTGAGAACATGCAGTATTTGATTTTCTGTTTCTGAGTTATTTCACTTAAGATAATGGCATCCAGCTTCCTTTATGTTGCTGTAAAGGACATATTTTATTCTTTTTTATGGCTGCATAGTATACCATGGTGTATAAGACTACCCTGGATCTAAAGATAAGCTCAGCCAATGCATATGTGTGGAGCATAGCCTCTGGCCCTGTCCACTTTGTAGACCTCACCTAGCCTTAGATCCCAGCATGCAGCCCTGCCCAACTACAGATTCCAAACAACAATACAATAGGTATGTGAAAAAAAGTGCAGCATCTCTAATCATTAGGGAAATGCAAATTAAAAGCACAATGAGGTATCACCTCATACCTATTAGAGTGACTTTTATCAAAAAGACAAAAGATAAGAAGTATTGGTAAAGATGTGGATAAAAAGTATCCCTGGTACGTTGTTGTTGGGAATATAATTTAATATAGCCATTATGGGAAATGGTATGGAAGTTTCTCAAAAAACTCAAAATAGAATTACCAGCAATCCACTACAGCTACCAGTGGGATCCAGCCATCCCACTTCTAAGTGTGTATCCAAAGGAATGGAAATCAATCTGTGGAAGGGATAATCTGCATTCCCGTGTTCACTGATTCACAATAGCTGAGATATGGAAACAACCTATGTGTCCATCAGAAGATGCATGGATAAAGAAGATGTGATATATATATACACACAGTGGAATACTATTCAGCCTTCTAAAAAGAAGGAAATTCTGTCACGTGCAACAACATAGGGAAACCCGAAGGACATAACACTAAGTGAAATGAGCCAGGCATAGAAGGACAGATACTGTATGATCTCACTTATATGAAAACGCTAAAAAAGTTGACCTCGTAGAAGTAGAGAGTAGAATGATGGTTACCAGAGCTAAGGTGGGGGAGGGTGTGAAAAGGAGGAAGTATTAATCAAAGGGTACAAAAGTTCAGATTTACAGGAGGAGTAAGTTGTCAGATTATTGTGTATCAGGGTGATTATAGTCAATAACAGTAATATATATGTATTTTATCTTTATTTTAAATTTTATTTTAAATATATATATATATTTATATATATACAAAATAAAAATAAAATAGTAATATGGTAGGAACTCCCCAGTGTGCATTCAGCCCTTTTTTCCAGCCCTCCTCCCTAAATATGGAAATATATATCCTCTTGACAAGATAAGAGAGGATTCTTCTTTGGATTAACTGATCAGACCTACTTAAAAGAACTTATATTATGAGGTGAGGGGAGAAACATAGTGGGTCACAATGGAAGCAAGAGGTGTCATATGCTCAGTGATAAAGCTAACTCACACCTTGTCATGGCTCCTCTCTTAAATATTAGTGTACAGTGAAGGACCACCAGAAAATTACAGAAAGCCTACAACATGAAAGTCAGATACCTAACTCAATACCAGAAAAATGGAAATCAGAAGAAACAGCACAAAGCAGGGAGCAAAAGAAAACTTCACACAAAATATACAAAAAAAAAAAAAAAAAAAGTGTGTAGCAGACTTGAGCCTGTCTATAGACCCAAAAGCCCTTAAATAAAGAGGTGGCTGCATCCTCTTCAGGAAGGACCTTTATACACCATAAAAATTTATGTTGTTAATCTTTTTCCCAGCCTACCTCAAAGGGACCTGTGGCCTCTAACCAGGGTAACTGTACATTGGGGAAAAAAGGAAATATCAGACATTTCACAGATTACTGGCCACTGGCTCTGAACTGACACTGATTCCAGGAGATCCAAAATGTCACCATGGGCCTCTATCAGAATGCGGGCTTATGGAGGTTAGATGATCAATGGAGTTTTAACTTAGGCCTATCTCACTGTGAATCCAGTGGTCTCCAAACCCATGCTGTGATTCTTCCTTCAGTTCTAGGATGTATACTTGGGATAATACTTAGCAGCTGACAGAATCCCCATATTAGTTCCTGTCCTGTGAAGTGAGGATAATTATGGTGAGTAAGGCCATGTGGAAGCCATTAGCACTGCCTCTACCTTGGAAAATAGTAAATCAAAAGCAGTGCTGAATTCCTGGAGGCATTGCAAAGACTAGTGCCACCATCAAGAAACTAGAAGATGCAGGGATGGTATGATTTCCACGTCCCTATTCAACTTATCTATGTGGCTGGTGCAGAAGACAGATGGATCAGTGGACAGTGGGTTGTCATATGCTTAACCAGGCAGTAATTCCAATTGCAGCTGCTGTACCAGATGTGTTTCATTGCTTGAGCAAATTAACACATTCCTTGCTACATGTTTTGCAGTTATTGATCTGGCAAATGCTTTTTTTTCCATCCCTGTCTATGAGGCCCAACAGAAACAGTTTACCTTCCATGGGCAAGGCCAGCAATACACCTTCAATGTCCTACCTCAAGGGTATATCAATTCTCCAGCCCTATGTCATAATTTAGTTTGGAAGCATCTTGGTCACCTTTCCCTTTCATAAGATATCACACTGGTCCATTATATTGATGACATTATGTTGATTGGACATAGTGAGCAAAAGTGGCAGTGACCCTAGATATATCGGTAGGACATTCACAAGCTAAAGAGTGAAGAAAAAATCCAACTCAAATATGGGGCCTTCTACCTCAGTGAAATTTCTTGCAGTCCAGTGGCATGAGACCTATCAGGATATCCCTTCTAAGGTGAGGTTAATTTGTTTGCATCTGGCCCCTCCTATAACCAAGAAAGAGGCACAATGCCTAATGGGCCTCTTTGGATTTTGGAGGCAACATATTCCTCATTTGGGATTGTTATGCTGGGCCATTTCCCAGGTAGCCCAAAAAGCTGTGAGTTTTCAGTGGGACCCAGGATAAGAGAAGGCTCTAGAATAAGTCTAGGCTGCTGTGCAGACTGCTCTGCCACTTGGGCCATTTGATCTAGCAGATGTCAGTGGCAGATAGGGATGCTATGTAGAGCCTTTGGCAGGCCCTTATAGGTAAATTGAACCACACTCCTTTTGTATTTTGGAGAAAGGCCCTTTCATCATCCTTGGATAACTATTCTCCTTTTAGGAGACAATTCTTGGCCTACTATTGGGCTTTAGCAGAGACCGAATGCTTGATCATGGGCCAACAAGTTACCATGCAACCCTAGCTGTCCATCATGAACTGTTACTTGACCCAGTGAGTCATAATGTTGGACATGCACAGCAACACAATACTCCATTATCAGATTGAAGTGGTATATACATGATTGGGCCCTAACAGGCCCTCAAGTGACAAGTAAATTTTAGGGGAAGTGGCCCAAATTTGCATGGTTCCTACTACTGCTACACTGTCTTCTTTCTCCCCATTTGCACCTATGGTCTCATGGGGCATTCCCTACAATGAGTTAACAGAGGAAAAGAAGATTTGGGCCTGGTTTACAGATGGCTTTGCATGCTATGCAGCAGCACCAAAAAGTGGACAGCTATAGGAACATAGACCCTTTCTGGGCACCCCTGAAGCAGAATGCTAAGGGGAATTGACCCAATCTCTGGCCTGCATCACTGCCAGCTGACTACAGAGGCCTTGGGTTTTGGAGAAACCTCAGCAGCAGGCAGATCTTAGAGGCTGTGGACTTCAGATGCACCCCATCACTACACCATCTTCAGTGGCCAAGAGTTTCCAGCTTGGTGCTGTACCAACTGTGATGGTCCTGGGCTTAAGGTGCCCCCCAGTGTTTCAGTGGCTGCCATGGTCATAGGTTTGTGGGCCACACCAGCTGACCCACCTAGAATCTCTGGACAGGCTTACTGTTGAATTGTTTTCCCAGACAAAACTATACTGTGAAGATTGGAATAAATATCTACTACTTCAATGCACAGATATCAATGCATGACCAGAAAGATCAAGAAAAATCAGGGAAATATGGTGTCCCCAAATGGACAAAATAAAGTGCCAATGACTGGCCCTAAAGAGATAGAGATGTATGAACTGTCTGACAAATAATTCAACATAACTGTTTTAAGGAAGCTCAGTGCACTTCAAGAAAATACAGAGAAACAGTTCAACAAAATGAGAAAACAATACATGATCAGAATGATAAATTTAACAGAGATTGATTTTTTTAATCAAACAAAAATGCAAGTGCTGAAAAATAAGTGAACAAAGTGAAAAATGCAATAGAGAGCATCAACAGCCAGTTGATCAAGGAGAAGAAAATATCTGTGAACCTGAAGACAGATTACTTGAAAATATACAGTTATGATGGAAAAAAAGAATGAAAGGAATGAAGAAAGCCAGTGGGATTTATGGAACAGCATCAAAATAGCAAATGCTTACGTCATTGGGGTTTAAGAGGGAGTAGAGAAATATAGTGGGGTAGAAAGTTTATTTAAAGAAATAGGAAACTTTTGAAACCTGCAGAAAATTATAATTATCCAGGTACATAAAGATTAAAGGTCATCAGTCAGATTCAATCCAAATAAGACTACCCCAAGACTTATTGTAATCAAATTGTCAAAGATGAAAGACAAAGAGAGGATCCTGAAAGCAACAAGAGAAAAGAAGCAAATAACATATGAGGGAGTTCCAATACACCTAGCATCAGACTTCTCAGCAGAAGTCTTACAGGCAAGAAGGGAATGGGATGATATATTCATATTCAAAGTGCTAAATAAAAAAAATGCCAACCAAGAATACTGTGCTCGGCAGGCCATCCTTCAAAAATGAAGATTTTCACAGGCAAACAAAATCTGAGGGAGTTTATCACCACTAGACCTGTCTTACAAGAAATACTAAAAGGAGTGCATTGAGCTGAAAGAAAAGGATGCTAATGAGTAATATGAAAACATCTGAAAGTATAAAACCAGTGGCAAAAATAAGTCAAATTTAGAATATTCTCATACTGTAATGATGGTTTGTAAATCACTTACTGTATAAAGGTTAAAAGCCAAAACTATTAAAAATAACAACCACAATAATTTGTTAAGGTATATGCAATATAAAAAGATGTAAATTGTAAATTGTGAGGAAGAGTAGAGTAAAATATAGAAAAATTTCAATCTAAGTTAAGTTGTTATTAGCTCAAAATAACCTATTATAACTATAAGATGTTATGTGTAAGCCTCATGGTAACCACAAAGCAAAAACCTGTAATAGATTCACAAAAATAAAAGGGAAGGAATAAAATCATACTACTAGAGAACATCTCTTAGCCAAAAGAAAGATAGTAAAACAGGAAGAAAAGATCTATAAAACAACTAAAAAACAATTTTAAAATGGAAGTAGAATTACATTGAATGTAAGTGGATTAAATTCTCGAAAGACATAGAGTGGCTGATTGGACTGAAAAATAAGACCCAATTACAAGCTGCCACTTCACCTGTGAGGACACACATAAACTGAAAGTAAAGGGATGGAAGAAGAAGAAATGACCAGACATGCTATTATATACCAATTCATGGGCTGCAGCCAATGGTTTGGCTGGATGATTAGGTACTTCAAAAGAACATGATTGGAAAATTGGTGACGAATAAATATGGGGAAGAAGTATGCAGATAAACCTTTCTGAATGTGCAAAAATTGTGAAGATATTTGTATCCCATCTGAATGATCACTGAAGAGTGATGTCAGCAGAAGAAGATTTAACAATTAAATGGATAGGATGACCCATTCTGTGGATTCCAGTCAGCCTGTTTCTCCAGCCACCATTGTCATCACCCAATGCACGCATGAAAGAAAGTAGCCATGGTAGCAGAAATTGAGGTTATTCATGGGCTCAGCAACATGGACTTCCACTGACCAAGGCTGACCTGGCTATGGCCATCTCTGAGTACCCAGTCTGCCAGCAGCAGATATGAACAGTGGACCCCCAATATGACATCATTCTGTGTGGTGATTAGCCAGCTACCTGGTGGCAGGCTGACTACACTGAACCATTTCCATCATGGAAGTGCAGTGTTTTGTTCTTACTGGAATAGACACTTACTTTGGATATGAATTTGTCTTCCCTACACATAATCCTTCTGCCATAATTATCATCCATGGACTTACAGAATATCTTATCCACTCTCATGGTATTTCACAAAGCATTTCTTTTCAAAGCAAGAGAAGACAGCACTGGATCCATGCTCCTGGAATTCACTGGTCTTACCATGTTCTCCAGCTGGCATGATAGAATAGTGAAACAGTCTTTTGAAAACTCAATTACAGTGACCCCAGGTGGCAATACCTTGAACGGCTGAGCAAGGTTCCCCAGAAGGCTGTATATGCTCTGAATCATGCCTAATATATGGTGTTGTTTTTCTGATTGCCAGGATTCTCAACTCCAGGAGTCTGGGTGGAAATGGGAGTGGCACCACTCACTATTATCCCTAGAGACCTATTAGCAAATTTGTGCCTCCTGTTCCCAGGACTTCATGCTCTGCTGGCCTACCACCTCACCACTTTGGGCTCCTCATGGCTCTGAGTCAACAGGCAAAGACAGGAGATACTGTATTTGCTGGAGTGATTTATCCAGACTACCGAGGGGAAGCTGGACTACTATTCCACAATGGAGATAAGGCAGACTATGTCTGAAATACAGGAGATCCCTTATGCATCTCCTAGTATTACCATGCTCTGTGATTAAGGCCAATGGAAAACTATAAGAACCCATTCCAGCCAAAACTACAAATGGCCCAGACACTTTAGGAATGGAGATTTGAGTTATCCCTCAGGTAAAGAACCATGACCAGCTGAGGTTCTCACAGAAGGCAAAAGTAATACACAATGGGTAGCAGAGGAAGTCAGCTATAAATACCAGCCTATAACCACATAACCAGTTACATAAATGAGGAATGTAATTGTCATGAGTATTTCCTCCTTATTTTGTTAAGAATACATTTGTGTGTATGTCTATATATATATATAGACACACACACATATATTAAACAAATATATTTGTTTCCTTCCTCTCTTATCCCCTTATTGTGTAACATAACATGTATTAACTTTGTATTTAAGTATTGTTAACTTTTTACCATATAATTTAAGTTACAGAATATTGGGAGAAGAGTAAACATCACTCAAGGACTTTAACCTCCTCTTCTGGAGAAAAGAGTAGTGCATTTTCAGTTGTTGTGCAGGATAGTTGTACCATGTTAGGTACAATTATGACCTTGTTATTGTCTTTATTTGGAGATACTTTGAGATGCTTATGGGTGCCAAGTTGACAAGGAATGGACTTGTAATGGTTAGTTGTATGCATCAACTTTACTGGGCTAGGGGATGCCCGGATAGCTGGTAAAACATTATTTCTGGGTGTGTCTGTGAGAGTATTTCTGGAAGAGATTAGCATTTGAATTGGTAGACTGAGTAAAGAAGATAACCCTCCCCAGTGTGGTTGGGCATCACGCAGTCCACTGAGGGCTTGAAAAGGACGAAAGGGCAAAAGAAGAGCGAATGCACGCTGTCTTCTTGAGTTGCAACATCCATCTTCTCCTGCACTCAGACATTGGCATTCCTGCTTCTCAAGCCTTCAGACTTGGACCAGGACTCACACCACTGGCACCCCAGTTTTGGGGTCTCTGGACTGAGACTGAGACTTACTCTGTTGGTTCTCCTGGTTCTCACACCTTTGGACTTGGACTGGAACTACACCACTGGCTTTACTGGGCCTCCAATCTAGTAGACAGCAAATCATGGGACTTCTCAGCTTCCATAATCATGTGAAAGGCAACCACTCATAATAAATCTTTGTCTATTTCTATATATCCTAGTCTATTCTCTGGAGAACACTTACTAATATGAATAGCATCTTCACAAAAATAAGAGACTATATATACTAGGATGCTATACAGTGGAAAGCCAAAAAATTTCTGAAAAGCGTATAGTCACAGTTTTAAAAATTAAAATTTGAAACAAAATGATTGATAAGGAAAATTGAAAAAGAGCAGTTTGCCCTGTCCCGTCCTGTTTATGCCTGTAGATAACCAATTGTCCATTCAAACAAAACAGTCATAAATGTCTAGTTACAAGGTGTCTGCATATGTGAGGTTATTATATAATCAGTGGACAATGTAGCAAAATGATACTGTGATTTAAGAAATTGTAATTGGAACCAATGTTAGAGCCAGGTGATGTGGCTTGCAAAAAGTGGAAATTACACTGAGTTTCTTTTTGGCATGGTTTAAGGCATAAGAGGTTTGGTGACAGTTCTACAACTGCCCTAACTTGAGGTCCGCTTCACCTGGGTCCTGCTGAGTGGGCACAGTGTTATCATCACCAACCCAAGTATGTATTCATTAAGAAAATGAGTGACTCAAGCAGTGCTGACTGAACATCTTTCAACCTGCTGTCATTTGGATTGTCCAGCTGAGAAACTCTGCTCAGAAATGTTCAGTACTTCTAAGATATGTCAGAGTGTTTGCTTTTATAAATTACTCCATGTTCCCACTTCAAAAGATAGACTCTGCCCTGTCAAATTTTAGGTTAGCAAGAAAAAAGAAAGATCCCAAAAACTTACAGGACAACCATTTAAATAATAAAAATGAATCTATCACCTGACTTTCTCATTAGTGATTCTGATTATCAAAGGACAGGAGAAAATGCCCTCCCCCTAACCTGTTATTCATCAGGTGTGTAAAATAAAGCTCTTTTCAGATATTCAGGGTCTCAAAAAATGTATGTTTATACATCCTTTCACAGGAAGGTGCTAAAGAATGTGCTTTAGCATAACAGAAAAGATCAAAGCATGAGATCCTGTAAATGGCGGCTAAGAGAGACAGTAATGAAGGGAAACCCCAGGAAACAAGTACTGGATTATCTCTGCCTTTATCACATGGAAAATATTATAAAATGCTATTTTAACTACCTTCTGGAAAACTAACCAAAAATTTTAAACAAAACAAGTATTAACTCCAGGAAAATTTATGTATATGTATGTATGTAGAGAGAAGAAAACATACTCATAGTAGAACTGGTTCAATAGTAAGCAGTATTTACACAGTAAATCTAAACAATATAAACACTCTATTCATTTAACTAAAAAGTTAATATAACTAATTTGAGAGGTGGAGAGAAGATGTATAAGTAGGCATGGTACATGAGAGATACATCTTCATCTGCCATATAAGAAGGCAATAGGGCTGGCTCTGGGTACACTGCCTAGGAGTTAGCCCTGCTCCACAAGCAGCAGTAATAAAAGAGAAAAAAGAAGGTAATAGATAATGTATAAAAATTATGTATTAAGAAAGAGCATATAAGAATGTTTACTTGAGGCCAGGCGCGGTGGCTCACGCCTGTAATCCCAGCACTTTGGGAGGCCGAGGCGGGCGGATCACGAGGTCAGGAGATTGAGACCATCCTGGCTAACACGGTGAAACCCCATCTCTACTAAAAATACAAAGAATTAGCCAGGCGTGGTGGTGGGTGCCTGTAATCCCAGCTACTCAGGAGGTTGAGGCAGGAGAATGGCATGAGCCCGAGAGGCAGAGCTCGCAGCGAGCCCAGATCGCACCACTGCACTCCAGCCTGGGCGACAGAGAGACACTCTGTCTCCAAAAAAAAAAAAAAAAAAAAAAAGAATCTTTACTTGAGAATACAGAGACAGAAACAGCTGCAAGAGTCAAGATTGTGTTCCTTTGGGACCAGAGTGAAGAATGACAATGTGGCAGTGGTTGCATTTTAATATTATTTGTCTTATCCAGATTTGTATTGATAAAAATTAAAAATGTTTTAAAGATGATAGATATCAACTGTACAAGATGGATCAGATGAGAGAGAGATCATTTTATTCTCTTTTCTTTCTCTTCTTAGGACCTGGCGTATTGTAGTACCAATGACAAAAGATGATGCACTAAAGGAGATTAGAGGAAACCAAGTTACTTTTCAGGATTGCTTTATTGCAGATTTTCTTATTCTGTTGACTTTTCCTTTGTTGACCATACCTGAAATTCCTGGTTATTTACCAATCTCCTCACCACGTGGTAGTCAATTAATGGCTTCCTGGGATGCTTGTGTAGTTGCATCTGCTGTTTTGGTGACAGATATGGAGACCTTTCACACAACTGATTCATTCAAATCTTGGACCAGAATCAGAGTGCCTCCAGACATTCTGAGTGATGATGAAAGACGGAGTGTGGCTCATGTGATCTTATCGCGGGATGGAATCGTTTTTCTTATAAATGGTGTTCTTTACATAAAGAGTTTTCGTGGATTTATAAGACTGGGAGGAATTGTAAATCTTCCTGATGGTGGAATTACTGGCATTTCATCAAGAAAATGGTGTTGGGTCAATTATTTATTAAAGGTTAGTAAAAGATATTTTATATTTTATAAATATATTTATATTTTACAAAGGTATTTACCATACCATTTACTCAGTGATAAACAGAGACTTACTATGCAGCTCTTTGCCCAGTTGTTTTATCTAAGGCTGTAAACAGCTCTAACTCAACTTCTCAGAGACCTCTTTACAGTAGAGATACACCCCCAACAACTAAAAATAAAATTAATCTTGTATGTTATTATGTAGTTCAGTCATGAGAGCTTTGTTTTACCTTGATATGGGCAAAAGACCCAAAAATTATTTTCCCCAAACAAAGATTATATGAGCTGCCCAAAATGAATAATGAGTTTTTGTTACCTGCATAGAAAGTGTAATGATCAAGTCAGGGTCTTCGGGGTATCCGTCTCCTTCAGTGTTTACTGTGTCTATGTGTTGGTATCATTTCCTCTCTCCTAGTTACTTTGAAATGTTAAAAATATTGTTGCTGGCCGGGCGCGGTGGCTCACACCTGTAATCACAGCACTTTGGGAGGCCGAGGCGGGCAGATCACAATGTCAGGAGATGGAGACCATGGTGAAACCCCGTCTCTACTAAAAATACAAAAAATTAGCTGGGCGCAGTGGTGGGTGCCTGTAGGTGGGTGCCTACAGTGCCTGTAGTGGTGGGTGTCTCAGCTACTCGGGAGGCTGAGGTGGGAGAATGGCGTGAACCCGGGAGGCGGAGCTTGCAGTGAGCCGAGATCGTGCCACTGCACTCCAGCCTGGGCGACAGAGCGAGACCCCGTCTCAAAAAAAAAAAAAAAAAAAAATACACACACACACACACACACACACACACACACACACACACACATACATATATATATAGTTGCTAAGTGTAGATACCCTGGTCTGACTATAGACAGACTAGAAACACTAGAACTTATTTCTTCTATCGAACTGTATGTTAGTTAGATATAAAACATTAGAACTTATTCTTCTATTTAACTGTATATTTGTACGTATTAACCAGCCTCTCTTTATACTCCCTCCCACGCACCCCTCTCCTTCCCAGACTCTAATATCTATCATTCCATTCTGTTTTCTTGAGATCATGGTTTTTACCTTCCACATATGAGTGAGAACATGTAGTATTTGTCTTTCTGTGCCTGGCTTATTTCACTTTACAATAATGACCTCCAGTTCCATCCATATTGCTGCAAACATGATTTTGTTATTTTTATGGCCAAATGGTATTCCATTGGGTATATATAACCCATTTTCTTTATCCACTCATCCATTGATGTACACTTATGTTGATTCCATGTCTTTGCTATTGTGAATAGTGTTGCAATAAACCTGCGAGTACAGGTGTCCCTTTGATATACTGATTTTACTGATTTCTTTCCCTTTTGATAAATACCCGGTAGTGGGAATGCTGGATTGTATGGTAGTTATATATTTAGTTTTTTGAGAACCCTCCATACTGTTTTTCATAGCGGTCGTACTAATTTACATTCCCACCAACAGGGTATATGAGCTTCCTTTTCTCTGCCTCCTTGCCAGCATCTGTTATTTATTTATCTATTTTTGTCATTTTAATAATTGCCAGGCTGGGCAGGGTGGCTCACACCTGTAGTTGCAGCACTTCGGGAGGCCAAGGTGGGATGATTACTTGAGCCTAGGCGTTAGAGACCAGCCTGGGCAACATGGTGAGACCCCAGCCAGGGCAACATGGTGAGACCCCATCTCTAAAAATAAAATAAAATTTAGAAAATAAAAAATAACAATAATAGCCATTCAACAGGGTAAAATGATATCTCATTGTGGTTTTGATTTACATTTCCCTGATGGTTAGTGATGTTAACTGTTTTTTCACATACCTGTTGGCCATTTGTATATCTTTTGAGAAATATCTGTTCATGACCTTTGCCCACTTTTAAATGGGATTTTTTTTAACTATTAAGTTGTAAAATTGAAGAGGAGGGAATTATCCCTAACTCATTCTACAAGACCACCCTTACCCTGATACCAAAACCAGAGAAGAACACAACACAAAAAAAGAAAACTTACAGGCCAATATTCCTGATGCACATAAAACACAAAAACCCTCAAAAAAAATTCTAGCAAACTGAATCAAATAGCACATCAAAACCAGAACACACCATGGGATTTATACCAGCAATGTAAGGATAATTTGACATACACAAATCAATAAGCGTGTTACATCACATCCACAGAATGAAGGACAAACACCATATGATCCTCTCAATAGATACAGAAAAAGCATGTGATAAATTCAACATCCCTTCATGATAAAAATTCAACAAACTGGCCAGGCACAGTGGCTCACACCTGAAATCCCAGCACTTTGGGAGGCCGAGGAGGGCAGATCATGAGGTCAGGAGTTCGAGACCAGCCTGGCCAATATGGTGTAACCCCATCTCTACTAAAAATACAAAAATCAGCTGGGTGTGGTGGCACACGCCTGTAGTCCCAGCTACTTGGGAGGCTGAGGCAGGAGAATTGCTTGAACCCGGGAGGCAGAGGTTACAGTGAGCCAAGATTGTAACACTGACTCCAGCCTGGTGACATAGCGAGACTCCATCCCAAAAAAAAAAAAAAAAATCAAACTAGGCATAGAAGGAACATACCTCAAAATTATAAAAGCCATATATAATAAACCCACAGGTAAACATCATACTGAGTATATAAGTTTAAAGTTTAAAGCCTTTCCTGTAAGAACTGAAACAAGACAAGGATTCCCACCCTCACCACTCGTATTCAACTTAGTACTGGAGGTCCTAGCCAGAGCAATCAGTAAAGAGAAAGAAATAAAAGGCATTTAAATTGGAAAAGAGGAATTCAAACTGTCCCTTTTTGCAGATAATATGATCTTATATTTAGAAAAACCTAAAGACTCCACAAAAAATTTCTTGGAAATGATAAATTCAGTAAAGTTGAAGGATATAAAATCAGCATACAAAAATCAGCAGCATTTCTATACACTAATAATGAAATAGCTGGAAAATAAATCAAGAAAGCACTCCTATTTACAATACCTACCAAAAAAACTGGGAATAAATTTAACAAAGGATGTGAAAGATCTCTGCAAGGAAGACTACAAAACACTGATAAGGCTGAGTAGAATAGTTCACACCTGTAATCTCAGCAGTTTGGGAGGCCAAGGCAGGAGGATTGCTAAAAGCCAGGAGTTTGAGACCAGCCTGGGCAACAAAGCAAAATCCTGTTCTCTACAAATAAAAAATTTAAAAAGTTAATCTGGTGAGGTGGCCTACACCTGTAGTCCCAGCTACTTGGAATGCTGAAGTGGGAAGGTTGCTTGAGCCCAGGAGTTCAAGGCTGCAGTGAGCTGTGATCACACCATTACACTCTAGCTTGGGTGACAGAATGAGACACTTTCTCTAAAGAATATATATATATAAATTTAAGTGGATGTATTGTAACCCTGATAGCAACCACTAAAAAAATTTATACAAGATAGAGTAAAAAATTCAATGAACTAAAATGAAATATGAAAAAAATTATAAAATCCAAAAGAAGGCAGAAAAGGGAAATAGAGGAACAAAACCCTGAGGATACAATAGAAAATAAAATGTATAACTCAGTCTAAACACAACAATAATTACATTAAATCTAAATGGTCTAAAACCACTAATTAAAAGGCAGAGATTGTCAGATTGGATTTTTTTTTAAAAGACCAAATTATACATTTTTATTTAGAAGCCCACTTTAAATATAAGGAGATAGGTGGACTAAAAGTAAAACACTGGAAGAAGTTATAACATGCAACATGAAATTTGGGAGGGGAAACAGATCCAGACCATATCGACCAATGTCAAGGTGGTTTATTGTGTTTTCTTCTAGGAATTTGAGAGTTTCAGATATTACATTAAGTTTTTAATCCATTTTGAGTTAATTTTAATAACTAGTACAATTTCAATTTTTATACCTTCTTTTTTCCTTTTCTTTCTCTTTTTTTCCCCAAACTGTTAGAACTAACAAATAAATTTAGTAAAGCTGCAGGTTACAAAATCAACATAAAAAAATTAGTTGCATTTCTATACACTAACAACAAGCTATACAAAAGAGAAAGTAAGAAAGCAATTTTATTAATTACAGCATAAAAGAATTTTTTTTTTACATGTGGATATCCTGTTTTTCTCCACACCACTTATTGAAGAGACTCTTCTATCTGGATTGTGTTCTTTGCATTATTAAGAAAGATTAGTTGGCTATATATGCATGGGTTTACTTCTGGATTCTCTATTCTGTTCTGTTGGCCTATGTGTCTATTTTTCAGCAAGTACTACACTGTTTTGATTGCTATAGCTTTGTAATGTAGTTTGAAATGAGGAACTATGATGCTTTAAACTTTGTTCTTCTTCGAGATTGCTTTGGCTCCTCAGGGTCTTTCATGGTTCCATATGAATTTTAGGATTGTTTTTTCTATTTCTGTGAAAAATGCCCTTGGAATTTTGATAGAGATTACATTGACTCTGTTAATCAGAGTCTATAGAAGGTGGTATTATTATGGACATTTTAACAATAGTAATTATTCCAATTTAAGAATATGAGATATCTTTCCATTTATATGTGTTTCTTCAGTTTCCTTCATTAATATCTTATAGTTTCCAGTGTACAGATTTTTTACCTTCTTGGTCAAATTTATTCCTAAGTATTTTATTCTTTTATATATTTATTTATATATATGTATATATAATTTTATTTGAAATATTCATATATATATATATATATATATATATATATATATATATATATATATATATAAAATCTCCCAGGTTCTTGGAAAATTTCTTTCTGGTTTTCAGCAGTTTTACTATGTGCCTAGATGTTATTTCCTTTGTATTTATCCTACTTGAGGTTCAATTGAGTTTCTTGGATTTCTGGGTTTATGTCTTTCATTAATCTTGGAATGTCAATGGCTATTTTCTCTTCAGATGTTTCTTCAACCTCATTTTCTTTTTCCTTTCCTACTAGGATTCCAAAAACACCTGTATGAGACCATTTAATATTGTCTCATAGATCTCAGATGACCTGCTCGTTATTTTTTCACTGTTTTTTCCTTTGTATTTCAGCTTGTATACACTTGTATGTTCACTGCTTTTTTCCTCTGCTTTTTCCAGCTTCTTGGTAAGTGCATCTGAGTTTTTTTCAGACAGGGTCTCACTCTGCCACCCAGGCTGGAGTGCAATGCCACAATCAAAACTCACTGCTGCCTCAAACTGCTGGCCTCAAGCAATTCTCGCACCTTGGCTTCCCAAAGTGCTGAGATTACAGGCATGAGCCACCATGCCCAGGCCCAATTATTTCTCTCTCTCTCTCTTTTTTTTTTTTTTTTTTTGAGACGGAGTTTTACTCTTGTTGCCCAGGCTGGAAGTGCAGTGGCGCAATCTCAGCTCACTGCAACCTCCGCCTCCCAGATTCAAGTTGATTCTCCTGCCTCAGCCTCACGTGTAGCTGGGACTACAGGCACGTGCCACCATGCCCAGCTAATGGCTAATTTTTGTATTTTTAGTAGAGATGGGGTTTTGCCATGTTGGCCAGGCTGGTCTCAAACTCCTCCAATTATTTCTTTATTCTTGATTTTTGTTTTATTTCTAGCATTTCCATTTTGTTCCTTTTTTATCATTTCTATATCTTGGCTGAAATTCCTCATCTCTTCACTATGTTGCCCATCTTTTCCACTGAAACCTTCAGCATTTTTATTATAGTTATTTTCTCTTTAGACATTCTGGGCACCTTATCACTGACAACATTCCAGAGACCTCTTAGTACTTCACAGTGGTGCCACCAACCTTCGAAATCCTTGGGAGAGCTATCTCTGCTTTACAACTTAGCTTCCAGCTTTTTGGTCATTGGGTAATTAACTTTACTTTCTCATCTGACTCTGAATTTTGGTGTATCTTCCTCTCTTCCTCCCCTTCTCCTCCTGCCCACTCTGCACTCCCCTCTCCTTCTCCTTCTCCTTCTCCCTCTCCTTCTGTCTCCTATTTCTCTGTCCCAATTCTGTCAGGGAAGCTGCTTTACACTCTGGGTAGAGGCCACACATGGCTCAAGGAGAGTTCCTCTCCACTCCCTTACCCCACTCCTAGTCACAGAGCTGAGAATCCAGAGTGTGGATGGGTTTCTCTCAACTTGTCCAGCTTGATGCCCCTTTCCTGCCTTCAAAGACTTACTACCTTACATTTTGAAGAGACCTTGAATGCTTCAAAAGGATCTCTCACCTCACCTGCACGATTATGCCGAAGCATTAAGTGGAGTTACGTGGGAAAGGGTTTGTGAGTGAGAGTGAAAACTCACTTCTTGGCTGGGAATCCTTGGAATTCTTATCTATCGTGTTTATGACGTGTTCCTCTTCCCATCTCTCTGACAAGAATGAGAATGGCTGTGGGTTTCTTCTATAGCTCACCATTTTGTTTCTAATCTATTTCTTCTTTAAGAATTGTTTCCAGCAACATAAGTTCTATACTTTAACGTGAATCCACATTTAGCAAAATGACCTTTTATCCCAAATTGTGTCTTTCTTTGGTTACCAGTTTGATATCTGCCGACCTCCTGTTTCAGTATACACTAAATATTTGTACATTAAGTAAAATGAGGACAACAAGATGTTTTCAAAAGATTCCTTTTGATTGTCATGTACATAGAAATTACATTTCAAGTAAAAATCCCAAAAAATTAGAAACAGTGGGGAGAGGAGGCAGAGGAGAAGGGAGGCCTTGGACTCCTTGATGAAATTAGGCCCACCAAGTTTCAGGCACAGCAGTTTCTGAATACTAGCAGCCTATATCCATGAAAGGGTAGAATTCATTTGTCTAAGGCTTTAAGTTTCTCTTCTCTTTATCTGATAACCAAGGAATCTAGAATTCCAAAAATGAGTTAATATTTGAAGAGACTTTATATATTGACCTTAGTAAACATCAAGGTGAAAGGCACACTCCAGGCCAGAGTGATAAATACACAAAGAGAAGGCTGATGTGCTTAAAAGATTTAAAAGGAATTAAAATTTATTAGTCCTACCGATAGAAACAATTTATAAACAAATAATTGGGATAATTTATTTTTATGGTTATATGTAATATGACCAATTTCTATTTAATATATTTCTATGCCTGAAGTATTATTCAAAAATATATTGAAACAAATCAAACCTTAGTATTTACTACCTTTAATTTTTATTTATTTATTTATTTAGAGACAGGGTCTTGCTCTGTCACCCAGGCTGGAGTGCAGTGGCATGATCATGGCTCACTGCATCCTTGAACTCCTGGGCTCAAGTGATCCTTCCACCTCAGCCTCCCAAATAGCTGAGACTACAGACACACGCCACCACCCCCAACTAGTTTTTAACTTTTGTAGAAATGGGGTCTCATTTTGTTGCCCAGGCTGGTCTCAAACCTCTGACTTCAAGTGATTCTCCTGCCTCAGCCTCCCAAAGTGCAGGGATTATAGGCATGAAACCACCACACCTGGTCTCTGTATTTTAAATGTAGCAAATTAGAAGATGGAAGTTGTTAGACCTTGGTAGCTAAGGTATGAGGACACAAAGGCGTAAGAATGATACAATGGACTTTGGAGACTTGGGCGGGGGTGGGGGGGCAGGATGGGAGTGGGGTGAGGGATAAAAGACTATACATTGGGTACAGTGTACACTGCTCAGGTGATGGGTGCACCAGAATCTCAGAAACCACCACTGAAGAACTTATTCATATAACACCACCTGTTCCCCAAAAACCTATTGAAAGAAAATTTAAAAAAATAAAAAATAAAATTTAAATTTTAAAAAAGAGAAATTGTTAGGCCCGTCTCTAAAATCGAAGATCTTTCTCATCATTTTTCATTTTGTCACAGGCTAAAGGAAGAAGAAGCACCTTTGCAGTCTGGACAGAAAATGAAATTTACCTCGGATCCATTCTTCTTAAGTTTGCCAGATTAGTAACTACCACAGAACTGAAAAACATCCTAAGTCTATCGGTGACTGCTACTCTGACCATAGACAGGGTTGAGTATACAGGACACCCTCTGGAGATTGCTGTGTTTTTAAATTATTGCACTGTATGTAACGTCACCAAAAAGATTTTCTTAGTGATATATAATGAAGATACAAAACAGTGGGTTTCCCAAGACTTTACATTAGATGCCCCTATTGACAGTGTTACCATGCCACATTTTACATTTTCAGCACTGCCAGGATTACTGCTATGGAACAAGCATAGTATCTACTATTGTTACCATAATTTCACCTTTACTGGGATTTTACAGACACCTGCAGGACATGGAAATCTATCAATGCTATCAAATGACAGCATTATTCATGAAGTTTTCATAGGTAAGGCATTCTCAGTCCACTAACATTATTCTAGATTTCACTATAGACATCTTCCTTATAATGATGTAACACTTTTTAATGTACCAATGTGTGGCGTTTTTGGCAGCCAAAGGTGCACTTCTTATCACCTACAAATGAATTGACTTTAAATACAAGTAATGTTAACTATGATCTCACATAGCAAAAGGGCAAACTCAATTTCTTTTTGCCGGGGAGAGGGGAGTTTCATTTTGGTCAATCAGTAGATTCTAACTAAGCAATTTATATATACATCGTAGGGTGTAGGAGGTGCTGTGGTATTGTGTTACGTTTCCTGGGGCTCCCGTAACAAAGTACCACAAACTGGATGACTTAAAACAACATAAATGTATGACTTCACAGTTCTGGAGGCTAGAAGTGGAATATCAAGGTGTTGATAGGGCCGTGTTCCCTCTGAAACCTGTAGAGGGAGGTTTTGTGTTATACAGCACATATGAAACAGGATCATATGTGTTTTTTAAACAACCATGAGCCACAGTGATAAGAAGACAAAGTTAGAATCATACATTGGGGATAGATTTTAGAGGTCAGATACCCAGTTTGAATGTTGTACTGAAGGTCATTCAGAAACAATGAAATATAACACGCTCAAACAATTCATAAGTGTATGAAGTATGAAGTTAAAGGCCTTCATCTCTCACCATTCTCATTTCCCAAATAACCAACTATTAAGAAACTCCTGTGAGGCCAGGCGTGGTGGCTCACGCTTCTAATGCCAGCACTTTGGAAGGCCAAGGTGGGAGGATCACTTGACTCCAGGAGTTCGAGTCCAGCCTGTGCAACATGGTGAGACCTCATCCCTACTAAAAACTTAAAAATTAGCTGGGCATGGTGGTACACGCCTGTGGTCCCAGCTACTCAGAAGACTGAGGCAGGAGGATCACTTGAGCCCGGGAGGTCAAGGCTGCAGTGAGCCATGTTCACCTCACTGAACTCCCCAGCCTGGACAACAGAGCGAGATCCTGTCTCAAAAAAAAAAAAAAAAAAAAAGCTCCTGTGAGTTTGTCCAGACTTTCAAACAAGCAAATACTAAATATAATGGGCATGTTTTCAAAACAATACATATAATAGATATAAAACGAATGCCATTTTAACTGCTGTGTATTGTTCCACTGTCTATGCACACTACTGTCTAATTAATAGGGGTGTAGATAGATATTTAGATACATATTAGCCTTCAGTTCTTTTTCTGTTACAAATAATGCTGCAGAAAATATGCATATGTACACACACTGATACAAGTGTTTCTGTAATATAAATTACTGGATATAGAATTCCTGAATCAGAGATTACGAATATTTAAAAAGTTGATAAATCCTTCTCACTTACCCACCAGCAAAGTTTGTCACAGTCTAAACTCCCCCAAAAGTATTGAAAATGTATCATTTTCATAGAATCTGTTTAACAGTTACTGGTTATATAGAAGAAAAATGTTATTTTATTGCACATATCTTTTATAATTAGATGTTTTATCTAGTTTCACAAATTTATTGGCCATATTCTTCTGTGAATTTCCTTTTTTTCTTGTCATTTCCTTATTTCTGTTTTATTTTTTATTTGTTTATTATACTTTAAGTTCTGGGATACATGTGCAGAATGTGCAGGTTTGTTACATAGGTATACACGTGCCATGGTGGTTGACTGCACCCAGCAACCTGTCATCTACATTAGGTATTTCTCCTAATGTTATCCCTCCCCTACCCTCCCAACCCCTGACAGGCCTTGGTGTGTGATGTTCCCCTCCCTGTGTTGATGTGTTCTCATTGTTCAACTCCCACTTATGAGTGAGAACATACGGTATTTGGTTTTCTGTTCCTGTGTTAGTTTGCTGAGAATGATGGTTTCCAGCTTTATCCATGTCCCTGCAAAGGACATGAATTCAGCCTTTTTCATGGCTGCATAGTATTCCATGGTGTATATGTGCCACATTTTCTTTATCCAGTCTATCACTGATGGGCATTTGGGTTGGTATCCAGCCTATCATTAATGGGCATTTGGGTTCCAAGTATTTGCTATTGTGAACTGTGCTGCAATAAACATAGGTGTGCATATGTCTTTATAGTAGAATAATTTATAATACTTTGGGTATACACCCAGTAATGGGATTGCTCAGTCAAATGGTATTTCTAGTTCTAGATCCTTGAGCAGTTGCCACAGTGTCTTCCACAATGGATAGACTAATTTACACTGCTACCAACAGTGTAAAAGCATTCCTATTTCTCCACGTCCTCTCCAGCATCTGTTGTTTCCTGACTTTTTAAAGATCACCATTCTAACTGACGTGAGACGGTATGTCATTGTGGTTTTGATTTGCATTTCTCTAATGACCAGTGATGATGAGCTTTTTTCCATGTTTGTTGGCTGCATAAATGTCTTCTTTTGAGAAGTGTCTGTTCATATCCTTCACCCACTTTTTGATGGGGTTATTTTTTCTTGTAAATTTGTTCAGGTTTTTGTAGATTCTGGATATTAGCCCTTTGTCAGATGGATAGACTGCAAAAATTTTCTCCCATTCTGTAGGTTGCCTTTTCACTCTGATGATAGTTTCTTTTGCTGTGCAGAAGCTCTTTAGTTTAATTAGATCCCATTTGTCGATTTTGGCTATTGTTGCCGTTGCTTTTGGTGTTTTAGTCATGAATCTTTGCCCATGCCTATGTCCTGAATGGTATTGCCTAGGTTTTCTTTTAGGGTTTTTGTGGTGTTAGGTCTTAAGTTTAAGTCTCTAATCCATCTTAATTTTTGTATAAGGTGTAAGGAAGGGATCCAGTTTCAGCTTTCTGCATATGGCTAGCCAGTTTTCCCAACACCATTTATTAAATAGGGAATCCTTTCCCCATTGCTTGTTTTTGTCAGGTTTGTCAAAGATCAGATTGTTGTAGATGTGTGGCATTATTTCTGAGGCCTCTGTTCTGTTCCATTGGTCTATATATCTGTTTTGGTACCAGTACCATGCTGTTTTGGTTACTGTAGCCTTGTAGTATAGTTTCAAGTCAGGTAGCGTGATACCTCTAGCTTTGTTCTTTTTGTTTAGGATTGTCTTGGCTATACAGGCTCTTTTTTGGTTCCATATGAAATTTAAAGTAGTTTTTTCTAATTCTGTGAAGAAAGTTAATGTAGTCTGATGGGGATAGCATTGAATCTATAAATTACTTTGGGCAGTATGGCCATTTTCACAATACTGATTCTTCCTATCCATGAGCCTGGAATGTTTTTCCTTTTGTTTGTGTCCTCTCTTATTTCCTTGAGCAGTGGTTTGTAGTTCTCCTTGAAGAGGTCCTTTACATCCCTTGTAAGTTGTATTCCTAGGTATTTTATGCTCTTTGTAGCAACTGTGAATGGCAGTTCACTCATGATTTGGCTCTCTGTCTGTTATTGGTCTATAGGAATGCTTGTGATTTTTGCACATTGATTTTGTATCTTGAGACGTTGCTGAAGTTGCTTACCAGCCTAAGGAGATTTTGGGTTCAGACAATGGGGTTTTCCAAATATACAATCATGTCATCTCCAAACAGAGGCAATTTGACTTCCTCTCTTCCTATTTGAATACCCTTTATTTCTTTCTCTTGCCTGATTGCCCTAGCCAGAACTTCCAATACTATGTTGAATAGGAGTGGTGAGAGAAGGCATCCTTGTCTTGTGCCAGTTTTCAGAGGGAATGCTTCCAGCTTTTGCCTATTCAGTATGATATTGGCTGTGGGTTTGTCATAAATAGCTTTTATTATTTTGAGACACATTGCATCAATACCTAGTTTATTGAGAGTTTTTAGCATGAAGGGGTGTTGAATTTTATTGAAGGCCTTTTCTGCATCTATTGAGACAAACATGTGGTTTTTGTCATTGGTTCTGTTTATGAGATGGATTACATTTATTGATTTGCATATATTGAACCAGCCTTGCATCCCAGAGATGAAGCCGACTTGATCGTAGTGGATAAGTTTTTTAATGTGCTGCTGGATTTTGTTTGTCAGTATTTTACTGAGGATTTTTGCAACGATGTTCATCAGGGATATTGGCCTGAAATTTTCTTTTTTTGTTGTGTCTCTGCCAGGTTTTGGTGTCAGAATGATGCTGGCCTCATAAAATGAATTAGTGAGGAGTCCCTCTTTTTCTGTTGTTTGGAATGGTTTCAGAAGGAATGGTACCAGCTCCTCTTTGTACCTCCGGTAGAATTTGGCTGTGAATCTGTCTGGTCCTTGGCTTTTTTTGGTTAGTAGGCTATTCATTACTGTCTCAGTTTCAGAACTTGTTATTGGTCTATTCAAGGATTTGACTTCTTCCTGGTTTCATTTTGGGAGGGTGTATGTGTCCAGCAATTTATCCATTTCTTCTAGATTTTCTAGTTTGTTTGCATGGAGGTGTTTATTCTCTGATGGTAGTTTGTATTTCTGTGGGATCAGTGGTGATATCCCCTTTATCTTTTTTTATTGTGTCTATTTGGTTCTTCTCTCCTTTCTTCTTTATTAGGCTGACTAGTGGTCTATTTTGTTGATCTTTTCAAAAAACCAGCTCCTGGTTTCATTGATTTTTTTCATAGATTCATAGATTTCATAGATTCATAGATTCATAGATTTCAAGATTCATAGATTCTTTTCAAAAAACCAGCTCCTGGATTCATTGATTTTTTGAAGGGTTTTTCGTGTCTCTATCTCCTTCACTTCTGCTCCAATCTTAGCTATTTCTTGTCTTCTGCTAGCTTTTGAACTTGTTTGCTCTTGCTTCTCTAGTTCTTTTAATTGTGATGTTAGGGTGTCAATTTTAGACCTTTCCTGCTTTCTCCTGTGGGGATTTAGTGCTATAAACACTGCTTTAGCTCTGTCCCAGAGATTCTGGTACGTTGTGTCTTTGTTCTCATTGGTTTCAAAGAACTTATTTATTTCTGCCTTAATTTATTTACCCAGTAGTCATTCAGGAGCAGGTTATTCAGATTCCATGTAGTTGTGTAGTTTTGAGTAAGTTTCTTAATCCTGAGTTCTAATTTGATTGCACTGTGGTCTGAGAGACTGTTTGTTATGATTTCCATTCTTTTGCATTTGCTAAGGAGTGTTTTACTTCTAATTAATTATGTGGTCGATTTTAAAATAAGTTTGATGTGGTGCTGAGAAGAACGTATATTCTGTCAATTTGGGGTGGAGAGTTCTGTAGATGTCTATTAGGTCCGCTTGGTCCAGGGCTGAGTTCAAGTCCTGGATATCCTTGTTAATTTTCTCTCTCGTCGATCTGTCTGGTATTGACAGTGGGGTGTTTAAGTCTCCCACTATTATTGTGTGGGAGTCTAAGTCTCTTTGTAGGTCTCTAAGAACTTGCTTTATGAATCTGGGTGCTCCTTTATTGGGTGCATGTATATTTAGGATAGTTAGCTCTTCTTGTTGCATTGATTCCTTTACCATTATGTAATGCCCTTCTTTGTCTTTTTTGATCTTTGCTGGTTTAAAGTCTGTTTTATCAGAGACTAGGATTGCAACCCCTGCTTTTTTTTTTTTTTTTTTTTTTTTTTTTTTTTTTTGCTTTCCATTTGCTTGGTAAATATTCCTTCATCCCTTTGAGCCTATGTGTGTCTTTGCACGTGAAATGGGTGTCTTGCATACAGCACACCAATGGGTCTTGACTCTTGATCCAATTTGCCATTCTGTGTCTTTTAATTGGGGCATTTAGCCCATTTACATTTAAGGTTAATATGTTTTGTGTGAATTTGATCTTTTCATTATGATGCTAGCTGGTTATTTTGCTCGTTATTTGATGCAGTTGCTTCATAGTGTCGATGGCCTTTACAATTTGGCATGTTTTTGCAGTGGCTGGTACTGGTTTTTCCTTTGCATATTTAGTGCTTCCTTCAGGAGCTCTTGTAAGGCAGGCCTGGTGGTGACAAAATCTCTCAGCATTTGCTTGTCTGTAAAGGATTTTATTTCTCCTTTGCTTATGAAGCTTAGTTTGGCTGAATATGAAATTCTATGTTGAAAATTCATTTCTTTAAGAATGTTGAATATTGTCCCCCACTCTCTTCTGGCTTGTAGGGTTTCTGCAGAGAGATCTGCTGTGAGTCTGATGGGCTTCTTTTTGTGGGTAACCCAACCTTTCTCTCTAGCTGCCCTTAACATTTTTTCCTTCATTTCAACCTTGGTGAATCTGATGATTGTTTGTCTTGTGGTTGCTCTTCGCGAGGAGTATCTTTTTGGTGTTCTCTGTATTTCCTGAATTTGAATGTTGGCCTGTCTTGTTAGGTTGGGGAACTTCTCCTGGATAGTATCCTGAAGAGTGTTTTCCAACTTGGTTCCATTCTCCCCATCACTTTCAGGTACACCAATCAAATATAGGTTTGGTCTTTTCATATATTCCATATTTCTTGAAGGATTTGTTCATTCATTTTCATTCTTTTTTCTCTAATCTTTTCTTTATGCTTATTTCATTAAGTTGATCTTTAATCTCTGATATCCTTTCTTCTGCTTGATCGATTTGGCTATTGATACTGGTGTATACTCCACAAAGTTCTCGTGCTGTGAAGCTCCATCAGGTTATTTATGTCCTTCTCTACATTGGTTATTCTAGTTAGCAATTCATCTAGCCTTTTTTCAAGGTTCTTAGTTTCCTTGCATTGGGTTAGAACATGCTCCTTTAGCTCAGAGGAGTTTGTTATTACTCCCCTCTGAAGCCTACTTATGTCAGTTCATCAAACTCATTCTCTGTCCAGTTTTGTTCCCTTGCTCACGAGGAGTTGTGATCCTTTGGAGGGGAAGAGGCATTCTGGTTTTTGAAATTTCAGTCTTTTTGCATTGGTTTTTCTTCATCTTTGTGGATTTATCTACCTTTGGTCTTTGATGTTGGTGACCTTTACATGGGGTTTTTGTGTGGATGTCCTTTTTGTTGATGTTGATGCTATTCCTTTCTGTTTGTTAGTTTTCCTTCTAACAGTCAGGCTCCTCTCCTGCAGGTCTGCTGGAGTTTGCTGGAGGTCCACTCCAGCCCCTGTTTGCCTGGGTATCACCAGCAGAGACTGCAGAACAGCAAAGATTGCTGCCTGTTCCTTCCTCTGGAAGCTTTGTCCCAGAGGGGCACCCGCCAGATGCCAGCCAGAGCTCTTCTGTATGAGGTGTCTGTCAACCCCTGCTAGGAGGTGTCTTCCAGTCAGGAGACACAGGGGTCAGGGACCCACTTGAGGAAGCCGTCTGTCCCTTAGCAGAGCTTGAGGGCTGTGCTCGGAGACCCACTGCTTCTTCAGAGCTGGCTCACAGGAACGTTTAAGTCTGCTGAAGCTGCGCCCAGGGCCACCCCTTTCCCCAGGTGCTCTGTCCCAGGGAGATGAGGGTTTTATCTATAAGCCCCTGAGTGGGGCTGCTGCCTTTCTTTCAGAGATGCGCTGCCCAGAGAGGAGGAATCTAGAGAGGCAGTCTGGCTATGGCAGCTGTGCCGAGCTGTGGTGGGCTCCGCCCAGTTAGAACTTCCTGGCAGCTTTATTTCCACTGTGAGGGGAAAACCGCCTACTCAAGCCTCAGTAATGGCAGACGCTCCTACCCCCACCAAGTTCGGGTGTCCCAGGTCACTTCAGACTGCTGTGCTGGCAGTGAGAATTTCAAGCCAGTGGATCTTAGCTTGCTGGACTCCATAGGGGTGGGATCCACTGAGCTAGACCACTTGGCTCCCTGGCTTCAGCCCCCTTTCCAGCGGAGTGAATCGTTCTCTCTCACTGGTGTTCCTGGCACCACTGGGGTATGAAAAAAAACAAAAACAAAAACAAAGACAAAAAACTCCTGCAGCTAGCCTGGTGTCTGCCCAAACGGCTGCCTAGTTTTGTGCTTGAAACCCAGCGCCCTGGTGGTGTAGTAACCTGAGGGAGTCTCCTGGTCTGTGGGTGGCAAAGACCGTGGGTTCCTCATGGAGGAACCAGACTGTTCCTCATGGCACAGTCCCTCATGGCTTCCCTTGGCTAGGGGAGGGATACCATGGGTTCCTTATGGAAGACCAGACTGTTCCTCATGGCACAGTCCCTCGTGGCTTCCCTTGGCTAGGGGAGGGAGTTCCCTGACCCCTTGCACTTCCCCAGTGAGACGACGCCCCACCCTGCTTCAGCTCGTCTTCCGTGGGCTGCACCCACTGTCTAACCAGTCCCAATGAGCTAAACCTCAGTTGGAAATGCAGAAATCACCCGCCTTCTGCGTTGATCTCGCTGGGAACTGCAGACTGGAGCTGTTCCTATTCTCCCATCTTGCCCACAACTCCCCCTTTTCTGTGAATTTTCTATTCATACTGTTTGGACATTTTTGCATTGGGTTTATCTATACTGATATGTTCTTTATCTCATGTATTGCAAATATTTTCTCTAGTGTGTAACTTCCTGTAACTTTTTGGAGGGAGTTTGGTATTTAGAATTTGTATTTTTAAATGGTCAAATTTATTAATATTTTTATTTGTAACTTCTGATATGCCATAATATGACAGGTCATTTCAATTATAAAGATATTATATATTTTCATTATTCTTATAATTCTGATTTTTATGTTTTGATATTTAGCAAGAGTTAGGAATCTAATGGTATTTTTCCCATTGAAAGCTGATGTTGCCTTAAACCATTCTTCTATTAAGCAAACCTCTCCCACTGATCTGAAATGCTACTTGTATTATGTATTCATTCCTCACATTAACCGGATTGTTTCTAGGCTATTCTGTTCCACTAATCTATTTGTCCTAGTGCTATACTTTTTTGATTACTATATCCTTAATCACCTAACACACTAAATAATTTATTTTCATGTTTATTGGCAGTCTTCTCTGCTGGAATGTAAGCTACACAAGAGAAGGACTTTTCTGTTTTTTCATGAATATTTTCCTCCTAAGTACCTAGAACAGTATAGCCCCATAGTAAGCATTCAATACATTTGTTGAATAGATGTTTGCAATATTTATCTTCCCAACCAGGAATGTTGTATCTTTTCATTATTTTTATTTTCTCTAATTGATCTATTCTAATATTTTATCCCTTCTTGAGTCAATTTCAGAAGTTCTTGTCTTTCTAGGAAATAATTCATTTTATGTAGATTTTCTAATTTATTGGCAAAAGTAGGCTATTTTAACTTTTAAATTTCTTATGTACCTATAATTATCTTCCTCATTTATAATATTGCTTGTGCCTAACCCCCTTGTTAGTTTGGCTTGCAAGAGATTGTGTTTTTTTAGGTTTTGTTTTCTTTTCCTTTTAAAAAGAATTCTTAATTTTATCTACTTTCTTTTTAATTTAATTTCTGCTTTTGTCATTATTGATTCTTTACTTCTGCTTTCTTTTTGTAACTTTAGTCATCTCTTGCCTGCTTATTAAGTTAAATGGTTATTTCATTTATTTTTAGTCTTTCTTATTTTCTAAGCATTTAAAGCTACACACAAGCAAAAGGCTATGAATTTTTCTCTGTGTGGCTTTAGCCACATTATCTTTTAAATCATTCTTAATTCTCATTTTAACTTCATATTTAAAGCAAGGATGATTTATAAGGTTTGTAGTCAGCAGTGTGATCAGCAAAAGAGAAGGTGCTATGAAAGCAAATATTGGGAACATCAATCCAGATGTATGGGATCAGAAAACTAGGTGTGGAGGAAATGACTTCTAAACTGAAAACTAGGGAGAGAGTATATATATTAGAAAATGATTTCACTGGTTAGGCTGGGGGATTGAGGTAGCATTCCAAGCTGAGAATACAGCATGTGCAAAGATGTGGAGGTAGGAAAGAACATGGCAAGTTTGGGGAACTGAAATTAGGTCAGTCTGACTAGATAACACAGTGTAAGGCAAAAAATGGCAAGAGACAAACCTGGCTAAAGAACAGACAGGCCATATCATGAAGCAACTTGGACATTATATATAATCCAAAAACAATGTATTGTTTTGTTTCCTGAAGTTTTAAATTTTATATATCATTATACTGCATGCATCCTGCAATTACTTTTTTATTCAGCATGGAATTATATGTTATTATGTCATCCATTCACATTTCTCCCCTTCCACCTTGTGATCTACTGCATATATTTCTGATTAGATAAGTTTAAGTAGAATACAATTTATAGTAATTTGTAAAAATGTTACTGACTTATTCTGATTTCAAATGTAAGATGCATAAACACAACACAGCCTGAACCTCCCTGACTTGATGAATTCCCCTCTTCCTTCCAGCCAGTCCTCTCCAAGTGTTGTCTTTTGACAAAGTATATTCCTAGAGGCTGTACACAGAGAATGTCATATCTTGAAAGAAAACTATGAAATCATCTAGCCCAACTGTTCATTTTACAGACATAGCAACAGAACTAAAGAGGTTAAGATAGTTACCCACTATGACCCACTGTGACTTAGGCAGAATATTAAGTGGAGAAAGCTGATTATCTGCTATGAGTGAACCTGCAGAGGTAGGCTATGCTTTATACCACTCTCACCCCCACTCACCTCCATGTCTTCATTCCAGCTATATTAGCCTGCTAGGGTTGCCATAACAAAATCCCACAGACTGGGCAGCTTAAACAACAGAAATTTAGATTTTCTCATATTTCTAGAGGCTAGAAGTCCAAGATCAAGGTACTGTCAGGATTAGTTTCTATGAGGCCTCAGTTCCTGGCTTGTAGACAGTCGCCGTCTTGCTGTGTCCTCATGTGGCCTTTCTTCTCTGTGTGTCCGGAGAGATCCCTGGTGTCTCTTCCTTTTCTTATAAGGGCGCCAGTTCTGTTGGACTAGGACCCCCTGCTTCTTAGCCCATTTTACCTTAATTACCTCCTAAAGGCCCTGTCTCCAAATACAGTCTCATTGGACGTTAGGGCTTCAACACAAGAATTTGGGGGGACACAATTCAATCCACAACACAATGCAGAATTCCTAATAGCTCTATTCCTGCCATGCTCATCCTTGTTATTACTGAATACATGAATTCCAGCTTTTTATGTTAAATGATGTTATATAAGTGATATAGTATTCAAGAAGAAAACTAATACAATGAAGTGGCAGAGAAGTTCCCCAATATAGTGTAAAGTTATGGGTTCATATCTGCACATTCTAACTTTCTCAAAGTATGAAAATACTCGGTCATTATCAAAGAAATTATTTTGGTTAAAAGTACACTTAACTAAAACAGCACGATTTATGGTTACTTAGACTAACACAAACTTTTCTCTTTTTTCCAGATTATTATGGAGATATTTTGGTAAAAATGGAAAATAATGTAATATTTTATTCCAAGATTAATACTAGAGATGCAGTAAAGCTGCATTTATGGACAAATTACACAACAAGAGCATTCATTTTCTTAAGTACATCTGGTCAAACATATTTCCTGTATGCTTTGGATGATGGCACAATACAAATACAGGACTATCCCTTACATCTGGAAGCACAAAGTATAGCTTTCACAACAAAAGACAAATGCCCATACATGGCATTTCATAACAATGTTGCTCATGTTTTTTACTTTTTGGACAAGGGAGAGGCTCTGACAGTTTGGACTCAGATCGTCTATCCAGAAAACACTGGTCTGTATGTTATTGTGGAATCTTATGGCCCAAAAATATTACAAGAGAGTCATGAGATTTCCTTTGAAGCTGCCTTTGGATACTGCACCAAAACTCTGGTAAGCTAATATTTTAAATTTCTTCATTTGATTTTAATAAGTATAAAAGTATAATATTAACATTTTTGTAAATGGATTTCCCTTCTAGGCTCAGCTGGGAAAATGTTGAGGAATGTCTGAGTTTTTAATAAATAAAAACACAATAAGCCATTCATTCCCAAGCCATTATTTTTGCTTTCCATATCCAAGCCCTCTTTGCCACCTAATAACACATTCCTTCAAAACTCATTGTCAATTGTATTGTTCACTTCTTCTTCTTTTTTTTTTTAATGCATGGCTTTCCTGTAGACTCCTGTTGTCTATTGTAGTATAACAAACCACTCAAAACCTAATTGCTTAGAACAACAACCAATTCTGGGCCGGGCATGGTGGCTCACACCTGTAATCCCAGCACTTTGGGAGGCCAAGGCAGGCAGATCACGAGGTCAGGAGATCGAGACCATCCTGGCTAACACAGTGAAACCCCGTCTCTACTAAAAATACAAAAAATTAGCCAGGCGTCATGGCGGGTGCCTGTAGTCCCAGCTACTCGGGAGGCTGAGGCAGGAGAATGGTGTGAACCCAGGAGGTGGAGGTTGCAGTGAGCCGAGATCACACCACTGCACTCCAGCCTGGGTGACAGAGTGAGACTCCCTCTCAAAAAACAAAACAAAACAAAACAAAACAAAACAAAAAAACCAATTCTATCCGTCAATAGTTTGGGCTGTGAGTAGCCATGCAGTTCTGCTGGTTTCATCTGGGTTCGTGGATGTGATGTGGGCATCTGCTAATTCGTCTGCAACTACATGACCTAAGATGGCCTCATTAATCTAAGGGGCCTCAGCTGGAACACTTGCCTCTGCTGGATAACCCAGGTCTAGTGTTATCCTCCAGACTAGACCTGGCTTCTTCTGTGGCAGTCTCAGGGCAGTGTTCCAAGACGGTGAGAGCAGAAGCCTAGGTTTGGCCACATATCCCTAACTCATAGGATGGTGACATAAACTCTACCTCTTATGGAGAAATAGCAAGTTACACTGCATACGGGACATGCATATGGGAATGGGAAAAATTCTTGCAGCCATCTTTGCAAACAATGTCATAATAGGTGTTATAAGTAAAATGTTTACTTAGAAACAGAATGCTTGTTCTTTGGTACTACAAGAAAAAAACAGCATTTAGACAAAAAATTTTCTTAGCAAGGCAGTTTTAGTTTCTGCAGAAAGGGTGCTCCTCACAGATGGAACAATGGCAAGAGTGCACCTGAATAAAGGAGGGAAGCAATTTTTATCCTTTACAGGGCTTGTCCTTGCTACTGTGTCTTGTCTCCATTGACTGAAGCTAGACCTCACAATCTAAGCTGAACCTGACGGGCTAATAATTTAAAACTTTCCTAAATAGGTAAAGGCAATAGGGAACAAAGGAAAAAAGGAGGTTGCTTACGAAAAGACTTAGAAAAATAATAACATTCCTAAATAATAAAGGGGCATAGACTGCGAACTGGAACATGCCTGTGAGCACGTCCAGCACAGATATCTCGGTTAAAGTACAAGGACACAGGATGTACTACATGCCTGTGAGCATGTCTAACAGCTACATAGGATAGGGCTTAGCAAAGAGTTATTAGCACAAAGTAAGGAGGCTTGAAGGCTTGAAGGAAGTTAGTCTTTAAAAGAAACTATTATTTCTAACACTTATGATTTATTCTTTAACAAGAAGGGAAACTTTGAAGAGGAAACTTTTTATTTTTACAATTCCTTCCTCTTGATTTTATAGTTTTTTTCTCTTCAAACTTTTTTTAACATGTTTGGCTTAGCTGTTTTGCTTGAGTTTTTAAAAGAAAAAGTTTTTCTGGTTGATGAAATGCTAGAGTAAAATGGATAGCCAGTTGAACTAGAGCACAAATACTGCTCTAATTATTTGGCAGAGTGTTCAGTAAATGTCCTCTATAATACTATTATACATTTGCTTAGGGATGAATAAGGGCGGACTGATGGGTCAGCTCTTGGAAGTGTCTGACTTCACTGCATCCTGTTAAGTTTCTAAGAAACTTAACAAACTTTAATAGTTTTATATTCAGGAGGCCTAATTACTTTTAAATTATACAATATTTCTTGCATAAATTCCCTTTTATAACTTTTTTTATGACTTTCACAGACAATCTTTGACATGCCTTAACTTTCTGACTTCTTTTTACACTTTTTCTTCCTAGTCTTACCTTCTGTGTCTTTCTCTGATCTCTGTCTCTTTCAGTCTCTCGCTCACTTATTCTCTCCCTCTATCTCTCTCTCTCATTTGCGCTGTCTCCCTCCTGAGTTCTCCCACTCTTGCAGCTGGCAGGGCCAGGCAATGGCATGGGCCCTGCCCCAGAGCATGTGCCGCCATCTGTCTCTCCTGTTTCTTTCTGATTTTCCTTTTTACTTTCTCCCTTCCTCTCTTACACTTAGTTTCTTGGGCTGGGTGGGATCCTTGTGGCCACAGCCCAGGCCCCGGGCTGTTGCTGGCCCAGAGGCTTGGCAGGTGCCTGCCGTAAGTTGTACGATCATGCTCTTTCACCTCCTCTGCTCTCCTCCTGGCACCAGTCCTTGACCTCTTCTTCCACGCAGAGCCAGGCTAGGGAGAGGGACCTACCTCTTGGCTGCCGGGCTGCGCGGCATGGTATCCTGGCCCCGGCACACTCACACTTTCCTGCTCAGCTCTAACTTGCAGGCGTCCATGGCCAGCTGTCCTCCGAGGGTGGCAGGACGTACCTGAGCAGCACAGAAGGCTTGGGGCTCGACAGCTGGTGGCCTGGATGGCTCTAGCTGCATGGCTGGGTGCGAGGAGAGCATCCTAGCCACTGCCACTCTTCCAGGTGCTAGTAATCTACAACAATGTGGAGCTGCGCTTGCTGCTGTTGCTCTCTTTCTCTCTAACTTCCTCTCCTAGTTTCTCTTTCCTCTCTGCTGGTCTTTCCCTTGCCTCTGCCAGCCGCCTACGCTGCTGTTCTCCCCTCTCCTTCCCTTTCCCCTAGGGAGCAGCTGGTGGGAGTGGAGCTTAGCCTCTTTCTTCCACCGAGAAGAGAGGAAAGGGAAGTTTTGAATATTTTTCCTATTGCTGGAGGATTGTGTGAGGTTCAGTCTCTCCCTAATGGGGATTTTTCACCTCTTTTTAACCTCTAAGACACCCTAAGAAATACTTCACCGCCTCCCATGGCTTTTCTTTCCTTAGTCCTGACTAAGGAATGCTCTACTGCCTCTGCGGTGTCTGTTTCCTTGGTATATCCTGTCCAAGGAATGTTTTACCACCCTGCGGCTTTCTTTCCTTAGTCCTGACCACCAAGGAAATACTTTACCGGCTCCTCCAGTGTTTCCTTCCTTGGCTCGTGCACAAGGTTACCTGGTCCACGTGGTATGTGAGGATCCTTTACTCCAGGTTGCCAGCCAGTTTCTTTCCATATTGCTGAGAGTCCAGATTTATTCATCATACTGAGTGGGTCTCAATTCCTTACCCCTGAGGCCACTGCAGTGAGGCAGTGGGGCACCTCCTCATTAGAGAGGACTAGAGACTGCCCCCAGAGGAAAGTGTATCCCTGTATGGGTCACCATTTTGTTGTAAGTAAAATGTTTATCCAGAAACAGAATGCTTGTTTCTCGGTACTGCAAGGAAAAATTAGCATTCAGATAAAAAGTTTTCTCAGCAAGGCAATTTTACTTTCTGCAGAAAGGGTGCTCTCGCCATTGCTCCATCTGCGAGGAGCATCCTTTCTGCAGAAAGTACAATTGCCTTGCTGAGAAAACTTTTTATCTGAATGCTAATTTTTCCTTGCAGTACTGAGAAATAAGCATTCTGTTTCTGAATAAACATTTTACTTATAACAATAGGTATAAATATACTGTGTATATTATTTTGTATAGTGCATTTCAAATTAATATCATAATGTGAGCATTTTACATGTTACTTCAATTTCTTCTTAAAAACTGTGTAACTCAAATGGCAGTTTCTGTTCCCCACCTTCCATTTCTAGGCTCAGCTTCCTTAAGCACATAGAATAGTGAGCCTGCTATCTGATACAATGGAATGGAAGTGGTCAGTTAATTCCAAAGTCAGTGAAAGCAGAGAATAATAAAAAGTGAAACCAATATATGTGAAACATTTTACTTTAACTTAAATATATATGAAACATTTTACTTTAACTTAAATAAATGAACATACTTTTCATATAGGACCAAAGCCTTTTCTTTAAAATAGGTCCATTTATTATAGTTCTTCATCTCCTTTCTTATGTAACCTTGCTCATAATGCATCATTTCTGAGTTCCTATTTCAGTTTCTTTAAGATAAAGAAAAAAAATACTTGAAGGCACTGGAAAAGCAACTGAAACTCTAGAATTTTATAATTTTTTTCAGTTTTTTAGTATTACCTTGTTCATACCTACTAATTCAGCAATTTCTTCAGTGACTTGCTTTATCAAAATTTTCCAAAAAAGTCAACTTAGTTCTCAGGGAAACAGTAACTCTACTTTCATTTGATACTTATTTTATCAATCTATAATATTATATATAATTACTTATTTTAAATAATCATATAATCTGGCATCAACAGATTTGGAAACAACATGGATTTAGATTTACATGCAGTCTCATGGATAGATCTTCAAACACAGAGTTGAATGAAAATTATAAGAAACTGTTTGAAATCTATCTTAGTCCATTTGGGCTACATAACAAAAATAACTCAAACCAGGTGGCTTATAACAACAGAAATTTACTTTCTCATAGTTCTGGAGGCTGGGAAGCCCAAGATCAAGATGCCAGCAGACTTGGTCTCTGGTGAGGGACCGTTCCTCACAGACAGCGTCTTTTCACTGTGTCCTCACATGGCAGAAGGGGCAAGGCCACTCTCAGAGGCCTCTTTTATAAGAGCACTAATCCCATTCAGGAGGCTGTGCCCTCATGACCTAATCACCTCCCAAAGGGCTCCACCTCCAATACTATCATGTTGGTGATCAGGTTTTAACACATAAGTTTTAGAGGAACACATTCAGACCATAGCACTATCAGTGTAATAACATTTATGAATATTACAAATACATACACATAAATAACAAACAAAAAGGCATTATACGTATTTCAAGGATACAAAGATACCAAAGGCATATTTTCAAGGATACAAACATAGTTGTTTGATATATGATCTATTGCTACCTACTATGGGGGAAGATGATACAGGGAAAAAATAAAGTATGATAAATAAAATAGGACTGGATTGATAATGTACCAAAATAAAAGGATATATTTAACTCTTGGTTTTCTTTCCAAGAATTTGATTATAGTATACAGTTGATTCTTGAACAATGTGGGGATTGGGGCACCAACCCCTGCCCAGTTGAAAATCTGGTATAACTTTTACTGGTTTATTTGTTGGTTTGTTGGTTTGTTTTGAGATGGAGTTTCACTCTTGTTGCCCAGGCTGGAGTGCAGCGGTGTGATCTTGGCTCACCACAACCTCCACCTCCTGGTTCAATTGATCTTCCTGCTTCAGCCTCCCTAGTAGCTGAGACTATGGGTGTGCACCACCACGCCCAGCTAATTTTTGTATTTTCAGTAGAGACAGGGTTTCACGCTGTTGGCCAGGCTGGTCTCAAATTCCTGACCTCGTGATTCACCTGCCTCGGCCTGCCAAAGTGCTGGGATTACAGGTGTGAGTCACCACACCCGGCCGTGGTATAACTTTTGACTCCCCAAAAGCTTAACTACTAACAGCCTACTGTTGACTGGAAGCCTAACCTAAACAGCCTATTAACACATATTTTATATGTATTATATGCTGTATTCTTACAATAAAGTAAGCTAGAGAAAAGAAATGCAATTAAGAAAATCATAAGGAAGAGAAAACACATTTACTGTAGACCTCAGTCTACAGCTATATATATATAGCTCTCTCTCTCTGTCTCTCTCTCTCTCTCCCTCTCTCTCTATATATACAGGTATATATATATACACACACATATATATATATACAGGCATATATATGGGTACATATCTATACAGGTACATATATATGTATACAGGTTATATATATAGGTGCATATACATATATATATATATATATATACACACACACACAGGTACATATCAATCATTTCAACATTTTTTTTCATTTCTCTTTTTTTGTTTTGTTCTGTTTTTCAATTTTCCCTCTCGTTCAACATTTTCTTGTGATGTCATGACTTTTCTTTGCTTGGGAGCACCTTCCACAGCATCACTAGTGGCACCCTCTATGGGCCCATGGTGTTATTCAAGGTTTACAGTATTGCACTAAACATGATAAAAAAAATATGCAAGAACCACAAGAGATCAGTTTTTGCTGTGATATGCAATTTACTGGAAGGACGAACTGCCCACAGGATGACTAGTGTCACACAGCATTTTAAGCAGATACTCACAACACTTGAGCTCACAGCAATAGCAATCGGAGGTGGCTGTGAAATGATCACATAGTACAGTGTGTACTGTAGTTAATTTCATGCAGTTATGGTTTATTACTGCACCTTTACATTTGTTTATATTTCTCTCAACTGCAAATGGCGCCATGTGTGGTCTGTAAATGTTTGTGTAAGTTTTGATAAATTTTAACTTTACAGTAGATCTGTATATATTTTATGGTAGCAAATGATAAAATAGACTAGTATCCACATATATTTTATGTACTCGTGAAACACCTTTTTCTTAATTTTTTCAGTATTCTAGGCTACATGGTTCAACTGTGAGTTTTTTCAAATTGCCACAAATCTCCAAAAAACTTTCCAGTATACTAATTGAAAAAAAATCCCATATATAAGTGTACTTGCATAGTTCAAACATGTGTTGTTCAAGGGTCTACTGTATATTTGTGTATTTGCAACTCAGACCTTCAAACTACTAGTTATTCATAAAAAATATACAAATGACCAATGGCAATGAAACATTGCATTTTGCAAAAATACAAAATTTGCATTTCTAATTAAATACTGGCTCTATCATTTACTACCAAATGACACTGAACAAGTTTTTAAATCTGTAATTCTCTCATCAGTAAATTGGGAATAATAGTAATGAAAGTAACTACCTCATAAGGTTCTTTTATTCTAATTTTTTTTCTTCTTTCAACTTGACACATAAGGTTCTTATGAGGATTAAATGAGTTAGTATACATTAAGGGCTTAGAAAAGCACCTGGCGCATACTAAGTACTATATGTATGCATTACTACAAACACTACCACTACTCCTACTGCTACCATCACTACAACTACCATATTTTATCAATTCAAAGGCACATTTTTTTGAGACAGGGTCTCACTCTGTCATCCAGGCTGGAGTGCAGTGGCACAATGTTGGTTCACCGCAACCTCTGCTCCCTGGGTTCAAGCAATTCTTGTATCTCAGCCTCCCGAGTAATTGGGATTACAGGTGCATGCCACCATGCCTGGCTAATTTTTGTATTTTTTTTTTTTTTTTTTTTTAGTAGAGACAGGGTTTCACCATGTTGGCCAAGCTGGTCTTGAACTCCTAACCTCAAGTGATCTCTTCGATAGGGCACTTTTTTCTTAACATTTAACATCTCTGAAATCAGGATGAGTCTTACATCCTATAGGAATTGAGGCTCAATGAAGTACAATAGTATATTATGAAAGCACCTTGCTTATATAATGCAGGCTGGGTCACTGTAACTTCACGGACTAATTATTGGCTAGTATGATGCTAAGCATCATAGCTAATCATTTGTTTTTTAAAAATGAATATAACACCCACATAGAAAAGTAAATAAAACATTTATGCATAATTTAGCAAATTATTGTAAACCAAACACCCACGTAATCACCATTCACGTCAAAAAAATATAACATCAGAAGTACCCAAAGCCCTCCTGTGTTTTCCCTGATCAGAATTGTCTCCTTTTCCAGGTTAAACATTAGTCTGACTTTTGTGGTAATAATTTCCTTACTTTTCGGCCAGGCATAGTGGCTCACACCTGAATCCCAGCACTCTGGGAGGCCGAGGCAGGTGGATCGCCTGAGGTCGGGAGTTCAAGACCAGCCTGACCAACATGGTGAAACCCCGTCTCTACTAAAAATACAAAAATTGGCTGGATGTGGTGGCAGGTACCTGTAATCCCAGCTACTCGGGAGGCTGAGACAGGAGAATCGCTTGAACCTGGGAGGTGGAGGTTGTAGTGAGCCAAGATTGCGCCATTGCACTTCAGCCTGGGCGACAAGAGTGAAACTCCATCTCAAATAATAATAATAATAATAATAATAATTTCCTCACTTTTCTTAATAGTTTCACAACCTACATATGCATCACTAAGTAATATAGCTAAGCTTTGTCTATTTTTGAACTTCATATGAAGGGAATCATTGCATGTATATTATATACACACATCCATCCATAAACATCTACATATATTGTATTTTTGTCTTGCTTTTGTCTTTGAATATGACGCTTATGAAAGTCCATGTTGTTTTCTGTAGCTGTCATTCATTCATACTCACTGATATATTGTGTCACTCTGTATGAATGTACTACAAGATATCCTTAGGCATTTTACTGTTGATGAACATTGGTCTGTTTCTATTTGGAGGCTATTCTGAATAATGTTACAATGAATATTTTAGTATATACCTCCTGAAAAGCACATATAAACATTTCTGTCAGGTAGAATTACTTTTATGTGAGATTCTTGGTGAGGCTATGAATTCAATTTATATTATAATTTTGCAACATTTTATTATGGAAAATGTCAAACATACAGAAAAGTTGAAAGAATTTTACATTTAACAGCTCTATATCTATACCCACTATGTACATTAATATTTTATTATATTTGCGTACTTGCTTTATTACGTATCTATGCACCTGTCTATCCACCAGTCAATCTTGTTGATTACTTACACGTGATGAACATCATTACATACCCTAATGAAGGCATTTTACATGCCTAGATGTAGAAAGCCATATGCTACTAAAGTGGGATCACCACCCCCAATTTCCCTGCTTTACATAAATTTTAAATTTTCTTTTTTCAGACACTAACATTTTATCAGAATGTAGATTATGAGAGAATATCTGATTACTTTGAGACACAGTAAGTATAACTTTTAAAAGAACTTTCTCAGTATCAAATATGCTACTCAGGTTATTGATTTGTGGGTGTTCTTTTATTTAAATGGCCTCATATTCTTTTAAATATTCAAATTTCAGATTCCTTTCAATGTCTGGATAGATGTAAAATTAATATTTAGCTGTATAAAATGTAAAATACTCCTTGTAGTTGAATAAGAAACATGACCTATCTGAATTTCTCATTCATCCAAATGAAGATGCAAAAAAAGGGCTGTTTCTTAGTTGAATAATTTTCAAGCACATTTTATCACTAGTTCCCATCTCAAAGTTTCTACATACCATCACTAGCATAAATAAGAACTCTGATATCACAGAAACTCTTTATGCATAGAGCCAGATAAAATGCTGTCTTTGACTACTGCAGTAAGGTAGCAGCTAGGCTACCTGGAGGAAGACAACCAACATGGAATTCTGTGTGAAGGCATTCCTATGGCTATCATTACAGCCTGGAAGTATTTTCTTGGAAAAATAGCATATTTTCCCTAGGAAAAATCAATTTTTCTTTTTTCTTTTTCTTTTTTTTTTTTTAAGATGGAGTCTCACTCTGTCACCCAGGCTAGAGTGTAATGGCATGATCTCGGCTCACTGCAACCTCCACCTCGCAGGTTCAAGTGATTCTCCTGCCTCAGCCTCCCGAGTAGCTGGGATTACAGGCATGCGCCACCACGGCCGGCTAATTTTGTATTTTTAGTAGAGACATAGTTTCTCCATGTTGGTCAGGCTGGTCTCGAACTCCCAACCTCAGGTGATCCGCCCACCTTGGCTCCCCAGAGTGCTGGGATTACAGGCATGAGCCACTGCACCCGCAGGAAGAATCCATTTTTCTTTAGTCTGGTGCTACTCCAAGTGAGTTTGACTACCTGCTCTATGCCAAGCACTTTCTAGGTATTTAAAATACAGGGTAAATGAGAAAGATGAAGTTCTAGTGTCATGGAACCCATTCTCCAGTGAGAAAACAGCCAATCATCAAATAAGTAATTTCAAATACTGGTAAGTGCTATGAAGAAAACAGAATTTGATATATATATATATATATATATATATATATATATATATATATATATATATATATATATATATATATAAATCAGTGACAGAGACTGATCAGGAAGAGTAGGGAGAAATGCTGCTTTCGACTCCATACCCAGGAGAGGCTGAATTCCTTTCTTTCCCTTTCACCCACCAACTTATCTCTTTATGCTCCTAATGGTCTAGGTTCCTTTGGATATTTATGGTTTTGTGGATATTTACTAAGATTTACATTGCTATAGAATACACGTAAAATTGCCAAGGACACTTTTTATGTTTGTTTGTCCTCATTTTTTTTTGACAAAAAAAACCTTAGCAGGTGTAGGTATAAATCAAACTTTCACGTTTTCTTCTATTATTTTTTAGCCCTCACGTTTTGCCTGAACACAAAATGATTCTTGTGCACTTCATAGTGGAGAAAGGCATTCTATCTGACCTAGCTTTCAATCCCAGTCAGATCATATTAGACCATTTAATGTGGCTCAGAAAACTAATTTTACAACTCACTCTTTATTGTCCAAAGGTGCTATCAATACGAGGGGAAAACGGGTAGGAGCCAGAGGAGGAACCCACACAGTGGCTGCCACCTTCAGGTCGAGATGTCTGCAGCAGAGCCCCATTGCCCAGGGACTGTGTGAATGAAATAGGGTGGTTGAAATGCTGGTAGGATGCTCATTTCTGCTTCCCATCGCATTAACCCTATGGTGGCCAAAACATGGGATACGATGAGGTGGGAGCAACTTTACAATAGGACTAGCATGCAGAGCTGTCTTAGCAGAAGCAGAGAGCTGTTACCAGCAGCACCATCCTCCAGGCCTCTAGAAATTGGCGTGGGAGGTCAATCACACCGTGCACATGGGACTTTGCACTTGCTCTACAGAAAGACAGTGTCATGCCTGTCTCTCACATGATACAATAACCTGTACGAATTGTTTCTCCTAGAGACAAGCACACGGGTCTTGTGCTGGTTCAGTTTCGACCTAGTGAATATTCAAAAGCATGTCCAATAGCCCAAAAGGTAAGCGACATGGGCTGAAGACCCAAATATTTCACTTCAAGAATGTATAGGCGGTCAACCAAATAATGCATACAATACCTCCGTACAATACCTCCATGCAATACCTCCATACAATACCTCCATAGAGTACCATCCTCCTATTACTTAGCAAGTTCCATATTTATTCTGCACTTATTTCTTCAAAACAATCGTTTATTCATAATTTAATAAAAAAACAAAGAAAAAATCATTTATTCATTTAAAAAAGTTTATTGTATGCCTACTCTGTTTCTGTGTGTCAGTCTGTGTGCTCGGTAATGGGAGTTGCAAAAATAAAAAGACAGGGTACCTTCCCTAGAGGTAAACGTAAACTAGCTTAATTTTGCAACATTTTATTATGGAAAATGGTATACACAGTTCTCAAACAGCCCAGAGGAAAGTAAACTAAGGAAGTTTACTGAGACTGGGAGGGGAAAGGTGAAAAGAAAGGGATACACAAAACGACCAGTGATGAATAGGTAGAAGTTCAGCAGGCAGGTGCAAAAACATTCCAGGAAAAGGCATGGAGGGATGAAATAGTATCAGGGTGTTCAGGTAACTGAACAGTATTATTACTATATTATATATTATATTATAGTATTGTGAAATTCAACATAAATTCTTAACCCCGCCTCCTTTGAGTCTATATTTCACACGTCTCCTCTCTCTATTACTTCTCAGCCTAACATTCAGTAAACATATATGGAGCACCTACTATATACCAGGCATTGTGTTATATATGGGGAATACAAAGCGAAATAGGACCTGGCCCCTCCCATTCAGAACCCAAGCATGAGGAACCTGCGTTCCTACCAGGGCAAGGTTCCATACATTTAGAGGGAGCCTTGAACTGAGGCAGACGTGATCCATCCTTGAGCACTGCAGACACACGCTGCTTCCCCAGGAAATCGCCTGCAGGTGCACACCAACAACTCCCCTGTCTGCCTACCACATGCCAGCTTAATCCACGTAGGAAATAAGAAACCACAACCTAGGAAGGTCCTGGCCTAGCCTAGGTCTGCAGTTTCTGTCTTTAACTGCTTTTACCCTCTTCCTTTATGGATGCCTTCCCGAAGCACCGTGGTTTCCTCCAGCCCTCTCTAATCTATAGAATTTTTTAGGGATCCCTATTCATTCTATCCTGCCCAGCCAAGGCATTACAAAATCAGGTTCATCTAACCTGAGTTCAGATCCACATTCTACCATCCACTGGCTTGGGTAGGCTACTTACTCTGAGCCTCAGCTGCCTCATTTGTAAAAGGGAAAATGTACCATCTATCTTATGGGGTTGTTGAGAGTATTAAATGAGATTATTCATGTAAAGTACCCAAAGCAATGCCTATTACATAGTAATTATCTAATATACTGGTTTCTTCCTTCTGTTTCCTCTTTGGTACCCTGCAGACAAGGACAGGACAAATCTAGCCATCCTCTGTGCCCACTGCAGGTAGTTTGTCCTGACCTACCCACTGAAATAGAATGAGGAAAGATGCGGTAGCCCTTTCAGGCAACAGGAAATGTGGCCGTGTAGAGGCAGGTCCTCTACTCAGCCAAGGAAATCAAAACATGCACACAACTGTGAAGTATGCCTTCAACCACAAGGTTCCTTCCTTGTGCTCCCACACTCATGGCTTAGCAAGCCATCAGCCTCCCAGATAAATATTGTAGAGACATAGGACCCAGCTCTGTGTAGACACAGAACCATGGCCTACAGACTGACCCACTGGGTGAAGTTAGGCCCTTGCTAAACCTGCTGGACCGAAGGGACATGGACTGCACTATTTGAATAGGAGCCTGTTGTCTTTATCTTTTAGTGTTCAGAGCCTGCAGCAGAGCAGCAAATAGAACTGGCAGCTCCAACAAGGCTGCATCTCACTTTTTAACCATGCACCAAGAACTGGAAATGCAGAAATGTAGGCCAGCCCCCAGAGGGCCTTAGTAAATCCTTCCGAGATGAACTTTCCCTGGGAGGGGTGACTACAGCTTTGTGCAGTGCATTATCTAACAGCATTTGTGTTGAGGGCCTTTAGAATCCCTGTCTCAGGTCAGTTAATCTGTCTGGTTAGAAGAAATACGCTGTGTCCAACTCTTGGTTAAGGCAGGAGCTGTCCGGCTCCGTCTCTGCACTAAGGAGAAGTGTTGTCATTTAGGCCATATGTCAGAATCTCTCTAATTAGGTGTCCAGTTCTGGGAATATGTGTCAGCCCTGCAGCAGTGGGTACTCTAGGAAACAGGATTATTTGTGCTCCCCACACTATACCTGCAACTCCTTTTCAATATCCACCTACAGGTTAACTCATATTTTTAATCCTAGCCATGGTGCTTGATCCTGAGGCTTGGGGTGATTTTTTTCAACTAGGACAAGGAAGAGAAGAAACATTGCAAATGAGATCATCAAGTGATGGTGGGTCCTGACTATGATAGATTTGAGAACCTTTGTCAACCCTTATATAGATAATTTAGTAAAGATAAAGGGCAGGCCAATGATTCTGATCAGGAAAGCAAAGATTTAATGATGGTGGCTGGTGAGGACTGTGGGTAGTGTGGTTGGGAGAACAAATCAGGCCCTGTGCTTGAAGTCAAGTGGTCCAGGAAATAAAATATGCACTCCCACTGTGAAGCATGCCTTTGAAATGAAGACCAAAAGGTCTTGGTTTAGCAGCATCAACTCTTTAAGGCCACCAAACTTGGCTGGACATCGTCCTATCCCCACCCTCCTGACCCCTAAGTCCTTCTTATACGGTAGGGAGTATTAGAGTTTTTCCAGATTTGCTTTGTGGAAATGTGCAACATCCAACAACATGCATAAGGCAGAACGCAAGTGTGTAGACCCTGTTGAGACAGCCTGCTGGAAGGTCAGGGGTCCTGGAGCCAGGTGGAAATGGAAGTAGGTATCCCAGCAGAGGGAGAACCAGGACCCTGGTTACAAGCAGCCATGACTCTCTGCCTGGAAAACTGACAGTTCTTATAGATAAAGCTAAAGCATTCATCCACTTTATTTTTAACTTTCACTATCTCTGTAAGCCTTCCTTTAATATCTGTATAGTAATTAATTGTATTTTAGTTCCATGGAACCTGTATATTATTTTTAAGCAACATGTATCTAAGCATTACAAGCAGGGTAAGATATTTTGCAACAGTTCGTTTTCCTAATAACTGAGATTTAATGAAGCTAATAGTCTCATCTTTAGATATAATGCATTCCAGCTACCAGATATAACCTATCTTCTTAGCAAAGTTCCATGAAATTCCATTTTAATTTTTGTGTGTAATATTCATTCTACCCTGTTCTTACTGCAAAAGTATTGAATCTGTTAAAAAGAGAAGGTAAAAATTGCTACTAACGGTAGAGGTACATTTGGGGATAGATGCAATATACTTATTGCATCAGATTCTAATGGGATTTTATTTGGTTGAGAGTTAGCCTTTTCCATATCAAATGCCCTTCTTGGGCATTTCCAGCCCATGAAACAAGGCATCATGGAACAGCCTGGCTATATGATGCCATTGTTTGATTTTACATTTGCCTTTCTCCCCTGTATCCCAAAGTTGACCTACAGAGAAGCGTGGGCTGTGTTAACAAAGCTATAGGATCCACAGGTCATTTGTTTTCAAACAAAGCACGTATGTGCATTTCTTTAAAAAAGCAATTATGAGTAATGTTTAGAATAAATATCCATAAAATGAGGACAGTGGTTTAATAGTTAATAATTAGCCTGTGACCAGTGCTCCTTTGAATAGAGTATTGCTGCTTAAAGGAGGAATAACAATAGTAAGATGCTATTTCACGTGATGCTCAGTACCCTGAGAAATTACTGGTCTACAAAAGTGAAAACAGCAAGTCAGATTAGTAGCTGGACAGATTATAGAAACCTGCCAGCTGAGTCAGAGGTGCAAACTGGAAGTAGAGATTTGATAGTCATGGTTGTAGAGAAACAGGTAAAAGATGAGTTTGAGCCAGGTGTGGTGGCTCCCACCTGTAATCCCAGCACTTTGGGAGGCAGAGGCAGGTGGATCACATGAGGTCAGGAATTTGAGACCAGCCTGACCAACATGGTGAAACCCTGTCTCTACTAAAAATACAAAATTAGCTGGGCGTGGTGGTGCATGCCTATAATCCCAGCTACTTGGGAGGCTGAGGCAGGAAAATCGCTTGAACTCGGGTGGCGTAGGTTGCAGTGAGCTGAGATCGCACCACTGCACTCCAGCCTGAGCGACAGAACAAGACTTCATCTCAAAAAAAAAAAAAAAAAAGATGAATTTGGATCAATTCCCTGAGACACAAATGTAAGAAAGGAGAGACCCAACTTTTGGGCCTCATGAGCAGTAAAGACAAAAGGAAGGAAAGAAAAAAAAAAGTGATCAAGGAAAGAGGAAGAAAACAGTGCAGAGCAGTGGTATAAGAGAACCCTACATTTTACAAGTTATTATTTTAAATCTAAAATGCAATTGGTTTTAGCTGTAATATTTTAGATCATATGAATCAGAACTGCTGAACTCACTACCTAAGTTACTTCATTTTAGGTGTTCCAAATAGCTGTTGGCTGTGATGATAAAAAATTCATTGCAATTAAAGGGTAAGTATATTTCCATTTGACCTGTGTTACTCTTTAAGTTTTAAAACAAATGGTAAACTAAGTGATAACTGCTAGTGATAATAGCCTAATGACTGACACATCCACAATGAAATCCAAAACTGAATTGACGTTCATGCCTAGATTCAATTGGTTTAAACTTTTGCCAAGTTAAATACTACATTTGAATCATACTAAAAATAAAAAGAATTAGCCTCTTTCTCTATTACTAGCATTTTTTCTCTACCTTCCCTTTTAATAAGCCAGTTTCTGTCCTTCACAGTTGCCTCTCTCAACTCTTCAGTCTACGGCTCATTCCCAGAAAAATAGGAGGGAGAAACACTTACCAGTTTTCCATCCTTCTCAAACCAGTTATAATTTCATTTCCATCAGAGAACTGCTTACACCCATATCAGAGAAGCCTCAGTTTTCTGCACCATTTTCTATGGGAAATTTCTTAGAACAAGCCTAGCAGAACCACAGTGATTGCCCTAGAGAATCCCAACGTGTGAATTTTGTCGGTTCTACTATGGTTCATGATGAAGCACGTTGGACTCTGTGTCTTCCATTCACCATACCTCTCTTTCTTCTACATGGGAGAAAATCAAAGGCAGCATACACAAATCTGTTTAGCTGAGGCTAAATGTATAACAGAGACAGAAATTTATTGTGATTCCTTTCCTTCAGTTAGGAGTGGGAGTGAGAGTCGGGGAACATTGACTCTTATCTGAGTATTTATGAAATTACTTGCTGACATCCAAAACAAATATCTACTCCTCTGTCATTCTAATAATCTTTTAATTATTACTGAGTTGTAATAATCAGTTGCTGGATTGATAATTAAGTATTTGCATCTCATTCAGCATTTCCTAAATTTGCATTTCCTAACATCTTTGCACCCGTAATTCCTTTCCCAGAAAATGCAAAAAGGCTAGTTGATTTATATAGCCGGTATCATCCTATTTCAGGGATGATTTACATCTTTGCTCCTTAGAGTATGGCCTATGGACCAACACTGGCATCACCTGAGAACTTGTTAGAAATGTAGATTCTCAGGCCTCATCCCACACCTGCTGAATCAAAATCTGCATTTTAACAAAATTTCCAGGAGATTACAAGGAGCACTAACATTTGAGAATAACTGGTGCAAACGTTACCAAAATCAGTTCCCAGTACCGCTGCATGCAGAATGCCTTCTCAGGCCCGATTTCCTTCTAAAGTGAGATGGAAAGCAGCTTGAAGCAGTCTGTTTCTAGAAGGGTCCGAATAATAACTATCAAGCTCAGTTACTCATCAGAATCACTTGGAGAACATGTTTTGAAAACATGGATTTTAGGACCTTACTCTGGGCCTCTTAGTCAATGACCCACTTCCCTGGAACCCTAAAAACTCTAATATCTTGGGCTCAAGTTACAGTGGGCCTATGGATTTTACAGTCACCAGGGGAGACCTGGAATAGCATGGGGTCCAAGTTACTTTTGGAGAGCCAGGGACTTGTCAATGAAGGAGAGTTGTCAACTCTTGGGGTCCAATTTGTGTTCAGGGTGAGGGATGGTCTAGACTTCCAATATCTATCTAAAAATGGTGGTGACAAGGGTTCTTTCTAAGTTCCACTGGAAGCAGCCAGCTAAAATGGTCAGATGAATAATTTACCTAACTAAAAACTCCTATAATTACAACGATCATTATAGCCTTCTGTCTTATGAACCCTAACTAGAAATTATGTTAATCCTTAAAATAACTCCTTACCTGCACAATAGTAGCAACTAGAAATCTTGCATTTAAAAGAAGTTTACATCTAATAAAACAGTCCAAAGAAATTTGTTTTCATTTTGATAGATTTTCTATGAGTTTTTTTGTGTGTGCATGTGTGTTTTACCATGGCAGCTTTTTAAAAAGTGTGATGAAATTCACATAATATAAATTTACCATTCTAAAGTATAGAATTCAATGGAATTAAGTACCTTCACGATGTTGTACAGCTAGCACCACTATCTAGTTCCACAATATTTTTGTCACCCCAAAAGGAAACTCTTTACCCAGTTAGCAGTCATTTCCCATTCTCCCTTTCCCCCAGCCCCTGGCAACCATAATCTGCTGTCTCAAAACCATAATCTCTATGGATTTGCCTGCTCTGAATATTTCACATAAATGGAATCCTACAACATATGACCTTTTGTGTCCAGCTGCATTCACCTAAGTCTGCTTTTGAGGTTCAACAGGCATGTATTAGTCCTTCCTTCCCTTTTACGGCTGAGTAATATTCCATTGAATGGATGTACCACATTTTGTTTATCCATCCAGCAGTTCATGGATATTTGGGATGTTTCTACCTTCTGGCTTTTGTGAATAGTGCAGCTATGAATATTTGTGTACAAGTGTTTGTTTGAACACCTGTTTTGAATTATTGTGGGTATCTACCTAGGAGTGGAATTGCTAGGTTGTATGGTAATCCTATGTTTAACTTGTTAAGGAACCTCCGAGCTGTTTTCCATAGCAGCTGCACTGTTTTACATTATCACCAGCAATATATATGGGTCCCAATTTCTCTGCTTCCTTGCCAACTCTTGTTTCTTTCTGTGTTGGGGAGTTTTTGGTTTTTGTTCTGATTTGACAGATAAAATTGTATGTATTTAGTGTGTACCACATGATGTTTTAAAATACATTGTGGACTGACTGAATCTAGCTAGTTAACATATGTCTTACCTCACATAGTTATCATTTTGGTGGTAAGAAAACACTTCACATCTACTCTCTTTGCGTTTTTCAAGAATACAATATATCATGAACTAAAGTCACCATGTTGTACAATAGACCTCTGGAACTTACTCCTCCTATCTAATTGAAATTGTCTATCTTTTGAGCAACCTCTCCCCAAGCCCTGCATCTGCTATAATTTTTAATAAGCATGTATCAAATATAAGAGATAAATCAGTAGATTTCAAATTCTGGTATCTCCTGAAACATTTATGAAACTGATGTTTTAAAAACAGAAATGCTAAGGCTACACACTAACCAGAGATTCTAATTCAGTAAATGATGATTCTCTGACACTCTCCTGTTTGAGAATCACTGAGTTAAATGATTAAATGTTTTTGCAAATATTTAAGAAATGATATTTCAACTTCATTATGTTTTGTCTTTTGTAGATTTAGTAAAAAAGGATGTCATCACCATGATTTTTCATACGTGATTGAAAAGTAAGAAATTTTTTAACATAAGCACTGAGTTTTATATTAACGTAGTACCAATACTTTACAATCAGTACTTATTCAGTGGATTATTATTAGCATCCATGTGTTCGGCTTGACACTGTGCAGTCAGTTTTAGCATTAAGCAAAATGTGTAGATGGTATAATTAACTTTCCTGAAACATACAAGAGTCAGTCTTCCCCCTTCAATTTAATTGGATAAGCAAAGCAAGCCTCATTTACATATATGTAGTCTCAAATCTCATATTGCTCCCTGTAATTTAAGGAAGACATACAAGAATTTTTTTTCCTTACATAATTTTTCTCAAATTCTACATGACTGAAGCCGGGTACAGTGGCTCATGCCTGTAATCTCAGCACTTTGGGAGGCCGAGGCAGGTGGATCACCTGAGGTCAAGAGTTCAAGACCAGCCTGGCCAACGTGGCGAAACCCCATTTCTACTAAAAATACAAAAAACTAGCCGGGCATGGTGGCTTAAATTCTACAAGACTGTAGTTCAGCTAGTTAGAAGTAATATATTTACCCGGAAAGTCCTGACATCAAATATTCTACTAACTGAATTTTTTCTAGATTTTATATTTAATTGTATGCATATTTATTTTTAATAATGTGATGTATTAAAGATATAACTAAATAAAATTTGACTTTTACCTTTGTAAGATAAAGATCTTCATTTTTAAATGTTAAATATTTGTTAGACTGTCAAAATATAGAAGTCCACAGCCTCTGAAATATTTACAAGCATCTTTGAAAAGCTATGAAATTTTCTAATTCTAATTAGAAATTATTATTTAAAATAATAAGTAGTCTAATTTATTAATTAAAATAAATGAAAGAATGTTTAACCAGTAGGCATATTCTTTAAGTGATTTCATTAATTAAGGCAGGGTGGAGAGTGGCCCAGCCTAGATGCTCCAGGTTGCAATGCTTAGTGAAAGCCATTGGTGAAATACAAGGATGAGAAGAAAATGTTTAATAGTTGATGAGGACACCACCTTTTAGTGTCTAGCTGGCAGCTGCACCTGAAAGGCAAGAATATGAAATAGACTCTGTCACTGTGATGGGGGTTTCCTGAGTCTGTCCCCTGCAACGTGGTAACATACATGGAACATATGGCTGGAAACAGTGATTCAAGTGTGAGGACTGAGAAGACAGGGAATGTGGGGGAGGTGATTTTGAAGGAATAAGTCCTTGAGTTCATGAACGTGAAGCATTCCACTCTCGTGAGAAATCTAAATTAGGAAACATCTGAAGTTTTAAAATACACATCTATTGTTACTGATTCTGATGTATCTTATTCTTTCATCTGTTAATATTCTGGGAAGAACTGTACTGGAATAGCACAACGAACATGGGCTTTATTGTCACACATCCTGCTCAGTAGTAAAGCAAGGTCTGCAGCCTTGAACGAGTTTCACACAGTTTCTGAGAATAGTACCAGATCTACAAAGAGAGGACAGTAATTCACGCCTTAGTGGTTGTAAGAACGTGTTAATATGTGTGGATATACATGTAGAAAGTGCCTCAGTATTTCATAATTATATTTATCTGTTTGACCTTTGTGATACCTCCTTACCTAAACAAAGTCATGGGTTTAGTTTTAAGTTTGAAAAGAGGAAAGAGAAATAATGAGGAATGTCTTTTTCACAGGTCATATCTGAGGCATCAGCCATCGAAAAACTTGGTAAGAAAATGATAAAATTCTGTCAATGGACCAAATATATAAAATCACTAAAGTAGTTTTCCTTTTCTAGAGAGTAAGGTATATTTGGGGAGAATATGGCTGCCCTCTGAGGCTTGACTTCACAGAAAAGTTTCAACCTGTGGTTCAACTGTAAGTATATTCTCATCAACATTTTAACTTATATTGAAAGTTTCAAACTCAAAGCACGAAAACAAGACTAATTGATCATGCATCTAACAACACGTATTTTAGACTCTACTCAATATATGCGAGACTTGGTTTTCAGTACTAGTTATACAAAGCTGGGCCGTGATGGTCCCTGCATGTTGAGGGACATCACTATTTGGCAGCCGAAATTTCAATGGGTAAGAGAGCTGAGAGCCTGCCTGTCAGGGAAGCCCTTGCTTTATCCCCTCTGAATCTCTCCCCAGGCTCCTACCAGCACCCCTGCCTATTTGGTAGGAACTACCTTCCCCAGGTGATATAACTTCTCTTTCCACAAGCCAATAATAAATGAAAGCTTATAAGGAAAGAAACTAGATTGCCGACAAGTACATTGAGGGCATTTCAAAAATATTATCCCTAAATCAATTCTTATAGACAATATTTCAGCCAGGTACGGTGGCTCACACCTGTAATCCCAGTGCTTTGGGAGGCTGAGGCAGAGGATGGCCTGAGCCCAGGAGATCGAGATCAGCATAGGCAACATAGCAAGACCCTGTCGTTACAAAAATTAAAATAATTAGCCAGGCATGGTGGTGTGTGCCTGTGGTCCCAGCTACTCAGGAAGCTGAGAGGGGAGGATCACTTGAGCCCAGGAGGTAGAGGATGCAGTGAGCCAAGATTGCACCACTGCACTCCAGCCTGGGCAACAGAGTGAGACCTTGTCTCAAAAAACAAAAACGAATAATATTTCATAATAAAAATATGAATGAAATGCTATTAGGAAGACTTTTCCAAGTGATTTTGTATTTGTTTGCTTTCGTCTCTGACTTTATTCTTTTATTCTTGGCTTATTATTATAAAAGTTATACAGCTTGTTACAAAATTTAAAATATAGAAAAAATACGAGGTAAACGACTCACATTTCTAAATTTTTTGCTATTGTAAATAAATAATAGTGAATATCCATTCATGTACATGTTTGGTCACGAGTCCAGGTATGCTGTTAGGGTAGACTGCTGGAAGTAAAATTCCTATGTCTAAAACATCAACAAAATGTTCTTAGTCAAGGCTTTCAGCTTTTGGGGACCTCCTAGGCTGCAGACAGCTTCTGAGATCTCTCAGGGTGGGTAGGTATAGAAGTAATGAATCAGACGCTCCAGTTTAGTTTTGCTACCAGAACTTTTCCCACTGGGATCCTGCAGGCCTCTGCCAGCATGGTCTGGCCCCTAACCCTCGCCCATGGCACTTCTAAGACTCTACCATGTGCCCTTTCCATCTTAAATCATACTCCAGCAGTCCGTCTCTCAGAGCTCTCCATGCTATCCAGCTAATCTGCTTGCTTTCTTAGTTTTGATCTTCTTCTAGACACCCAATCATGTCACTGCTTTTCCTGGGCACCTGAAGCACTGCTTTCCCTACCAGAGGCCTAGTGTGTTTGTGTTTTCGTGTTTGTTTATGTAATGCTTAACCTGCCAAGTTTAAAAAATCTTAATCTTCTTTCTCAGAGAAGTGCACTCTTCAGTTCATCATTGCTAAACACCTACTTTACACCAAGAACGGTGCTAGGCCCTGGAAATGGAAAGATAAGTGACAGGATTTCTACCCTCAGAAGCAGAAGAGTCTGATAGAGCAGATAAACATATGCGCAGATATGCTGAGTGTAATGACAGAATGGAGCAGTGTGGGTGGATAGTATTGAAACTCAAAAGATTCCAACCCAGCTATAAAGAGAGCGAGGCTCTGGGAAATGCTCCAGAAGACTTGCATTTGAGCTAAGTCACTGAGTCTTATGGATAATGAGTATTTTGCTAGAGGCAGAGGAGGGAAGGAGAGAAGTGGGGAGAGTAATGTTGAATTCTGCTGGGTAAGTCTTTCAAGTAAAACAGACAGTTGGAGGAAGAAAATTTATAGTTCAAACGGTGTGATATTGTTGAGGCAAAAATTAGTCATGAAGTCTCAGGAGAAGAGGCCAGGAAGCTAGCTAGGTGGATTCCACACCACGGAAGGCCTTCTATCAAGTCTTACGGTGGAGTGGCATGATCAAATATTTGCTTTAGGCTGGGCACAGTGGCTCACGCCTGTAATCCCAGCACTTTGGGAGGCCGAGGCGGGCGGATCACGAGGTCAGGAGATCAAGACCATCCTGGCTAACACAGTGAAACCCTGTCTCTACTAAAAATACAAAAAAAATTAGCCGGGCGTGGTGGCGGGCACCTGTAGTCCCAGCTACTGGGGAGGCTGAGGCAGGAGAATGGCGTGAACCCAGGAGGCGGAGCTTGCAGTGAGCCGAGATGGCGCCACTGCACTCTAGCCTGGGCGACAGAGCGAGACTCCGTCTCAAAAAAGAAAAAAAAAAATTTGCTTTAGCTAGTTCTCTCTGGGAGAGGGGTAGAGGATGAATTTCAGAGAAACAAATCTAAGTAGGGAGACCAGCTAGTCAACTGTATTGGTAGTCCTGGTGAGGTAGGAGATCAGCAGGACTTGTTTTCACAACCCTGTCGATCAAAACAGGATGTAGCCAAGAAACTGGCCAAAACCAGCTAGCACTTGGAATTATAATACATTTGCATAAGACATTCCCACCGGCACCATGACAGTACAAATGCCATGGCAATAACTCAGAAGTTTTCATATATGGTTCCAGAAAGTCCCTTCCCCCCTTCTAGAAAATTCTTGAATAGCCCTCCCCTTATTTAGCATATATTTATGAGTAGGTATAAATATAGCTAGCCAGCAATCCATGAGTGCTACTCTGCCTATGCGATAGCCCTGCTCCGTCTACAGAGCAGCCATTCTGCTGTACGCTTCACTCTAATAAACTTGCTTTCTTTCACTGTCAGCTCAATCTTGAATTCTTTCCTGAGTGAAGCCAAAAAACCTCCCAAGCTGAGCCCCAAGTGTGGGGTTCACCTGCATCACTAGGAAGAGAAAAACAGATGACTGAAATAGCAACAAGGACAAAGAAAAAGAATCCTGTATAAGAAAATTAGTGATTATACACACCGGGGCCTGTCTGGGGTGGGGGGCAAGGGGAGGGAGAGGATTAGGACAAATACCTCACGCATGCGGGGCTTAAAACCTAGATGATGGCTTGATAGGCGCAGCAAACCACCATGGCACATGTATACCTATGTAACAAACCTGCACGTTCAGTACATGTATCCCAGAACCTAAAGTAAAATTTAAAAAAAAAAAAAAAGAAAATGAGTGATTGTAATAGGCAGGGCTTGATAATTGATAGATGTGAGTGGTAAGGGTAAGAGAATGAGGAACATGAATGACTCCAAGGTGACATTAGTTAGAAGGGATCCTCCACAAACTTCCACCACCATACCTGTCCATCCTCAAGCAACTGTACCAGGAACTCTGTCTGCCTTCCTGTCACTATAGATGAACTGTCTGTGTATCTGTCTAAGGCCTGTCCCTCCATTTGTAAGCTAGATCCCCACCGGTTTTCCTAATCAAGAACATTGCTCCTGAAACTGTCCTCCTCTTTCTCCTGTATCATCAACTTTTCCCTCTCTACTGACTCATCCTACAAATATACAGGTCTTTCTCCCACCAAAAACCAAAGCAAAACAAAATTAACAAACACAATCACAGAAAAACCCTCTCTTGACCCTACTAGCCCTTCAGCTTCTGTGGTCACTCTCATCAACTCTTCTCCCATTCTCTCCCAAATCGCCCTCAGCCTGGTTTTTGTGCTCACCACTCTATTGGCACTGGCAGCCAACATGATCAGTGACCTCCATTCAGCTAAACCGATGGTCAATGCTCAGGTCCCACCTTCCTTGATCTCATTAACAAGAATTGACACGGTTAATCATTTACCCCTACTTGAAATATTTTCTTCATCTGGCTTCCAGAATAGCTCATTCTCCTATTCTTTCTGTTTCCTTGCTGGTAGCACCCCCTTAATTACTTAGTTCCTCCCTGATTTCTTTTTTTTTTTTTTTTCATGATCTGGGATTTTGTTTTTAATTTTCTTAAGTCTTACGATCACCTATAATTTATAATTTCGTATATAGCTCCTCTACTTTAATCCTTTTAACAAGTTGGCAAAGCACCATTGCCAATCACACACACACAGTAATTCTACAGTTCTGTGTTTTTGAATAGCGGTTTAATGACAATCGTAAGTTAATACTTAGTCCAACTTAGTCAAGAGTCTGAAAGTAAAGTTTAACTTGCTACTATTTCTTGTCACACTGATTTTAAAAGGTGACAAGTGTCATCTATAAGTGTGAGAAGTGTTTTCATTTGATACGACACATAAACCATTAAAATGCCCTTCAATAAGTAAAAGGCAGCATTTTAGATACAGGGAATTCTAATTAGCTGGGCAGAGTTAAGACCAAAAACATAAACATTGCGTTCTTACCTTCAGCCCTTACCTTTCACAGGCAAATGAACACAAATTTAAAGAACATGTGAGTCTTGCTTGGTTCTGAGACAGTGCAAGAATTTTTCCAGTATTAAAATATATTCATATAACTAGTTACACACATCTAAATTAAAAACCAGTCTCCAGTAGGTTTGGGGATGGCATTCTCGTCTTTGTGAAAAGTTGGACGTTTCTCATCAAGCTCAATCATATCTGTAGAAGGGGAAACAGGGATAGCATTTACTGAGTCCGAATTGCTGTCAAAATTCAAAAAAACTGATCATATTCATTTAACCAGAAGCCAGTCTTACTTATCAGGGCTGCCCAACAAAAATATTCTGCCAGTCATACATGACCTGAACCCTGGTATATTAGATCAATGACACTACAATACACGTAAAATCATGAGACAATTCTGGTTTCTAAGTAAATAAGGCAGTGACCAATTCTTTCTGCCTTCCTTTTAACACCAGTGGAGATCATTTTTGTTCCAGGGATGTACTACTTGGGATTCTCCAATTGCTCCTTCCGTAGATGATGCATTTGTTCTTCTTGGTGTCTGTGTACAAGAATCCAGCCACCTCACCTGTCTTGCACCCACAGAGACCATGGAGATTGGGCCCAGTCTTATGCTTGCCTCCCTTTTCCACGGTGTGGCACTGGACACACTTCTAAACAAAAACACTTTTGCTTTTTTCAACATCACCCATATTTAATTCTCTCTTTTGTTGCTCGCACTACAAAGGTTCCCGCTCAGAAGCTTGACATCTGGCTCTCTGAGATCTCCCTGACCTCTTAGTGTTGGAATGCCCGGAGGCCCAGGGATTTCTTTTCTTTTCCCCATCTCAACTTTCTCTTTGAATGTCATCATCCAGTCACATGGGCCAGGATGTCTCAATATATTGATATATCCCAACACTGCATCTACAGCCTGACCGTCTCCCCTTGTATCTGTCAAGTATGCTTAGGCTATGCTGCAGTAATAAATAAACCCTAAAATCCCAGTGCCTAACTCTCCATGTCATAGTCTGATATATAGAACTACATCGTCCGGACATGGTCTCTCCTGGTTTGCCGCCGTGTCTGGGAAAAAGACTGGAGGATTGTATGGGATGTTTTAAAGGCTTAGAACTAGAGGTGGTTTCGACCCACATCCCATTATCCAGAACCTATTGCCATGGCTCAAATCTAACTGCAAGGTGGTGTATAAAATGTAATCAGATACAGTTCCTGAACCCCAGACTGACACCTCCACTGAGATGCTAAATACATATATCACTTTTGCACTTAGATGTCAATAGATATATCAAACGTAACCTGTCCAAAACTGAACTCCTGATCTTCCCCTCAAAACCTGCTCCACCAGTAGCCTTCCCCATTTTAAGTGGTAGCAACTCCATCCTTGCTCATCTGGCCAAAACTTTGGAATCTCCCTGACTCCTCTCTCTCTCATACACCCTACATCAAATCCATTAACAAAGCCTATTGGGTCTATCTATTTGTCAATGCCTGCTATTACAGACCCAAGTCATCACCACTGACCCGGATTATTACAACAGGCTTTTTGTTGCTCTCTCTGCTTCCACTCTTGCCTCCATATAGCAGCAAGGGTAAAACCTTGAAAACAAAGTCAAAGCACATTGCTCCAAAGCTCGAAATCCTTATCATGGAGTAAAAGCCAAGACCTTACAATGACTTTCAAGGTTCTATTTGATTTTCTGCCTCTGTTACCTTTCTCCCATTAAACTTCACTGCACTCACTCAGATGCAGCGAGTGGCTTCCTTACCGTTCCTCAAGTAAGAGTAGTTTCTACACAATGGTGAGAAGAGAAGCCAGACTGCAGGGGGTTTGCAAAATCAATGAGAAGTTTACAAGTAGAGGCAAAATATAGTCTACAGTTTTTCAGCTTTGGGCTGGAAAATAGAAGAAAGAGACAGGAATTTACCTATAGAGAAAAACACAAAATATGACCTGGATTTTTTTAAAGAGGAAGATAGATGAGTATGTTTACAGTTTGAGGATAAAGAAAGGAAGGTTAGAAATGAGTCATTCTGATTATAGTAATATAGCAGACTGAGCTAAGTTGAGTCACTCCCTCAACTTAGGACGTGACGGGACTCCCTCCCGTGATAGACACGTCATCCTGCATAAAACATAACAAAAATACTTTGTACATAACTAAGCTTGAAAGAAAGAAGGCGGACTCTCAGAAGCGAAGAGAGAACTGAAAGTTAGAGCAATGCTTTTCAGCCTACCTATGCGATCCAGGGCTACTGGCCCAGGATAATGGAGCTAGAAATTGGAAGCTGGGTTTTCAAGCCCCTGTGAGGCCAAGAGGCTCTTTCACAAATTCAGGATATATTAAGAGCTACCTAGTCCAAAAAAAAAAAAAAAGAGAGAGAGAGAGACTAGAAAACTCTGCTAATGCCCAGGTCAGTCACAAGGAAGGTTGTAACCTACATGAATTTGTAGGCAAAAACATACCTCCTATAAGAATGGGAGATGTCCACCAAAATGTTCACCTCAGGCCTCCTATGGATCTGAACTTATACCTAATAGGAATAGAGTTTAGTCACAGAAAGTGCCATATGAAAAATGAAGCTAAAAACTATCAACTAGCCTTGAAACCCCTAAGCAAACCCCTTGAAACAAAGGTAACTGGAGAAGCAAATCCAGAGATACAGGATCCTCACTGGAAAAGTCACCACCATCAAAGAATCGATCAAATCCAGAGATATAGGATCCTCACTGGAAAAGTCACCACCATCAAAGAATCGATCATCAAATCCAGAGATATAGGATCCTCACTGGAAAAGTCACCACCATCAAAGAATCGATCATCAAATCCAGAGATATAGGATCCTCACTGGAAAAGTCACCACCATCAAAGAATCGATCATCTAAATTTACAAACATTTAAGGAAACGGACCCCCATGAGGGCGAGTCAGCAGATAAAATAAGTTGAAAAATGAGCACACAAAGCAAATGCTTAAAAATAACAGAACAATCTGAATAATATAGAAAATGTGTTCAAAAATGAATAAAGAGGAAAAATAAAATAGAAATCATAAGGAAATAATACGACTATGAAAAGAAAGTAGGCATATTTTAAAAATTTTGAAATTCTAGACATGAAAATGTAGTCATTAAATTCAAAATTTTAGACATAATTACAAACCAGATTAGATATAGGTGGAGAGAGAATTACTGAAAAAAGAGGGATGTGGAAATTAACCAGGATGCAATACAAATAGGTAAACAGATAAAGAAATAAGAAAGAGGGTAAGAAACAATTTCAGCAGAAGGACAAATTTCAACATGTGCTTAATAATTTTTTCCAGAAGGGGAAATTACAGAAAATGCGTTGAAAAGAGAGGCAACATTCAATGAAAAGAAATAAAATATGAAAACTTTTCAGAATTTAAGGCCCAAGTCAGAAGGTTGAGGATTGGCATGAAGTCTCAGATACCTCAGAATGAAGCCATAAAACAGTAAAGAAAAAGGGAAAATCACATACGCTGTCATATAAATAAGACAGATTACCTACAATGGAATGTCACCTAGACTGACAGATTTCTCACCAGCAAAAATAGGATAAATATAACTGGGGGTCAGATGATTAGCCATGAGACTGGGCTGAGTAGGGAACGAAGAGAAGGCAAGAGAGAAATGCTGTGTGAGAAAGCAGGGAGGGCCGGGCGCGGTGGCTCCACCTGTAATCCCAGCACTTCGGGAGGCCAAGGTGGGCGGATCACTTGAGGTCAGGAGTTCGAAACCAGCCTGGCCAACATGGTGAAACCCCGTCTCTACTAAAAACATAGAAATTAGCCGGGCGTGGGTGGTGGGCGCCTGTAATCCCAGCTACTTGGGAGCCTGAAGCAGGAGAATCGCTTGAACCCAAGAGGCAGAGGTTGCAGTGTGCCAAGATCGCACCACTGCACTCTAGCCTGGGCAACAGAGCGAAACGGAAGGAAGGAAGGAGAGAGAAGGAGGAGAAGGGGAGAAAGGGAAGGAGAAGAAGGGGAAGGGGAAGGAAGGAGGAATTGGGGAACTGGAAATCTCTATGAGGTCAAGGGGCAGATGAGAGGACAAGTGGGGGATGGGAGAGGGTGAGGTGGGAGAGTAGTCTACTGGAACAGCACTATTTGGGATTTTTGTGGCAGCACTTGTTTCTAGAAATAACTTATTTGTCTGCTACTAGGAATCACTTGATAAAACCTTTTACTTCCAATTATCCTAAGATAATGAACTGAATACTAGAGGTCAACGACAGAGGGACAAATGGGTAAGGTCCATTGTCCAGTTCCACTGAATTATAGTATACATAGTTGAAAACCAGGTATCCGATCAGGTATTCATCAGAGGTGAATTTAGCTGCTCACTCTGAGACTCTGGCAGACTTGAATCAATCAAGCTTTGAGAATCAGCGGCAGGGGTGGCCACCGGGAAATTAGCCCATAGTCTAGGTCTCTGGATTACAATAAATGCCTTAACGTTATAGGGAATGGCTCAGGTACAAGGCTCGGCAGAGTTTTACCGATAAAAGGACAATAGACTGACTGTCCAACACTCATAAGAAGGAAGCCAGCCCTGGGAGTGTGATCTAGCTGGGAACCCAAGTCATCACAGCTGGATTCAGAGTCCCAGGGCTTGCCCCACACTTACTAGCATTTGATGATGAGTCTATCACGCTCCAATCCCAAACTAGAATTCAGTGCCACAGAAGCAGCCCTAGAGGAAACAGTGGGGCAGGATTTCTTTGTTACCCTGCAGGGAGTTCAGGAACAGATATTCTGGGTGTTTTAAGGGTCCTGAGGATTCGCTTTAGTCAGGTACGGTAAGATATACAGACGCGGAAATGGCCATCAGGAAGGAAGTGCATTATACATACAGATCCCTAGAAACTGGGGGCAAGGCATGCTCCATGGGGCCACACATGGAAACATCAGGGTCAGTCAGGAGGCAGAGGGAGTGAGGGGGAAATGTGGGCAGAGCCTTATTGCAGTTTCTGTGGGAAGGAATAGGAGAGGCAGGGTAAGCATGTTTGAAATTGGCTACTTTGAATAATTTCAATGGGGCTCTGGGGACTAGGGACTCTCCCTGGTTGTAGTGTGTCTGCCTCTGGGGTGATGAGGGTAGGAGGATAGTAGCCCAGGGCTACTAATAAAGAACCCCCTTTCATAGGCAGGGGCTCCTGGAAGAGTTGGTTACTATCTCTAGGAATTGGCTAACCTTCCGCAGACCCCCTAGAGTCAGCAAGGCCCCAGAAGTTATGGCATCAGAATACAGAAAATTAAAGTCGTGGTTAATACAATGGGATAGCCACAAGGATTTGTCTAATAGGTTTGCAGGTGCACAGAGAGGTCTCTTTCCCAATTCCCAAAATGGAACTACCACTGTGGGGAGGTTACAAATTGCAAGGAAGAGCTGCCAACTAGTAACATTTCTGCATTTCTTAGGCTTAATTAGTATTATACCCTACATTAAAGAACATTCATGAAAATAAGCCATGCTTATATAGACAAGTATTTTTTCAAATATATTCAATGATATAAATTAAACATCATTGTAAAAGATCTTTACAAACCCAGAAATTATGGGTCATGTAATTTACACTTATTGCCACTAGATGGCACTGTAGCATATTGCTCTTGCAAAAGATGCCAGCTCAGTTCAATTAAGATTTTTTTTTTTTTTTAATAAAACATATGGCTTGCAACTAGTTCTTAATAATGTAAGAATCTGGCCAGGCATGGTGGCTCACACCTGTAATCCCAGTGCTTTGGGAATCAGAGGCAGGAGGGTGGTTTGAGGCCAGGTGTTCAAGATGAGGCTGGACAACATAGTGAGACTCCCCATCTCTACAAAAGATTTTAAAATTTACTGGGTGTGGTGGCACATACCTGTAGTCCTAAAGTTAGGAGGATCCCTTGAGCCCAAGAATTAGGGGTTATAGTGAGCTATGATTGTGCCACTGCACTCCAGCCTCTGCAACAGAGCAAGACCCCATCTCTAAAATACCAATAAATGGTAATAATTCAATAGTCTGATGACTTTTGGAAGATGCAAACATTCTGTTCTTTCCAAAGCTCCTAGAATTAGAGCTTTGCTAAAGCCTGACCCAAATCTCTGAAACTATACAAAAATACATGTATGCCTGCACATGTGTGCATTTGTCTGTTGCGAAAGGGTCCCAGAGCTCTCAGTAGAGTTTTTGAATACTCTGTGGCCTTCCTCCCCATCAGAAAAGAAGCCAAACACCAATCCTCCAATCCCTAGCTAGTCATGCCTGTTTGAGAACTAACCTTCTGAGTTCATCTCTTCATGACGTCTCAAAACTAAATAGGATGGAAAGAAAATAACTTCTCAGGTACCACTTTTTGACATTTAAAATTTTTGTCCCCAGTTTGTGAGAATGGGACAATAAATGCTTTTAATAACAAGGGTTGGGTGTTAGCAAGCTGTAGCAGACCTAGAAGGCCAGATACAAATGTGAGGTGAAGCAGAGATGGGGCAGTGAGTCAGGAGACACTGTCAAGGACCTGTTATTTTGTCTGATAGACACAGAGCAGTGAGTGCAGCAAGAAGCTCTACCAGAAGGAGAAGGTGGGGCGACAGTCCCAGAGCCAGCAGCCTCGAAGCAAGTGCCTGACACTAAGGTCCTAAGTGAAATTCTACCCAACAGGCATGGGGGACAATTTCATTCAGAAATATGGGAGTAACTGACGGAGAAGGAAAACATGTAACCATTCTTACGGTCACAAGTTCTGGTGTGCAAAGGCACGACTTTATCAAGAATTGAACTTTTAGCTCTGATTTCAAGCCTCTATGTTCACATGGTAGCAGGGAGAAAAATATTAATATGAAGCACTACAGCTCTTTTGAACACTTACTGAGTTTGCGGTAAATAAGCCCAATGGGACCTGTGTCTCCAGCTGTAGCATCAAGGCAGGGGTAGCCGGTCCATCTTGCACTCCCCTTGCTGGTGTCTGCTGTTGGTAGAAGTCGTCTTGCATTCTCTGAGCATGGGCTAGGTGTGACTATAGATCCAGGGAGCGTACAGGCTACGTCTGCTTCTCAGCCTCACCTCGACTTACTGACACCACTGATCCTTCCAGACTCAGCCACACCTTCCAGCTGGTTCCTCCTAGGGGGATCTGCAGCATCTCCGTTCTCATCATAGTAATTCTGTGGTTTCATTCTCTAGTACATCTAGTACATAATAGGCAGCAAATGAATATATGAGCTAAAAGACAACAGGGCATCCTGCTGTGCCCTTGCTCTGCCCTTTCTCCATCCATCACATCCTTCCGTCTTTCTCCCTGCTAACACCCATGACAGCAGTACCTAAGCTACCCTCACCTGATCAACAGATGGACCCTGTCCAGTGAAGAGAACTTAGAGTTCCAAATGTCCAAAAAGTAAAACATTTCTCCTTCATTACTATCAGGTTTTATTTTGAGAGCTGAATGAAAGAACATCTGTTTATTTCATCCAGCTGTCAAAAGACACCTAAACAATAGGTACTGTTATTATTTTACAGAAAAAAAAATCAAGGCTTCAAGAGTTTAAGTAACTCCCCCAGAGTTACTTTATCACTTTATGAAGTGATAAAGACAGGATTTAAACCTAAGCACTTCTGACTCAGAAGCTGGAACTCTTAACCCCTCTATTTTATATTAAACTAGTATCTTTCTGTTTGTTGTTTCTTTCAGATTTGATGATAATGGCTATGTTAAAGACGTTGAAGCAAATTTCATAGTGTGGGAAATACACGGCAGGGATGACTATAGCTTTAATAATACTATGGCACAGGTATGGCATCTTTGGATTTAACCAGAATTTAGCATGCAACTAGACAATGTCTTCCTGTTTTAAATTTATAAATAAGCGATCTAAGGAAAATAGAATAAGGCAGCAGTGGGTAGGAAAAAAATCACCTCTAGATTAAATTATATGGCTACTAAAATTCATTTATGAAAAATAGAAGTTGTCACATAAGACAGACATAAAGGGGTCAGAAAAAAAATAACATTTATAGTAGGATGATGCAACTCTATGAGTCTTCTTTTCTCTCCAAACTGTATTCAGTGTTTGATTATTTATGGGTCTGCCTTTGGCTTTAGGACATTTATCACTTGTGCACTAAGTCAAACGGACACTCTGGGCTTCGTCTCACTTGACTTCCCTGCATCATTTGACCCTGCTGACTTTGGCTTCAGTGTCCCTACACTCTCCCGGCTTCCTTCCACCCGCCAGGACTGGTTGCTCTTGGCCTCCTTGGTGAATCTCCCTTATTCTATCCTTTCACTTTGTAGGCCGCAGCAGAGTGGTCTTACCACTCCCAATCAACACATTTCCCCTCCCTGTGTGGGCCTTCCTGCCCTGAGGGCCTCCTGTCATGATGGAGCCTCTCTAGAAGTTACCAGCACTGATTTCTAATATTCCCCACAGATTTCACTCGCAAAAAAAAAAAACACAAAAAACAGGGATGGCTCTTTCCGAAGTAATGTTCTTATCTACCAGACACCTTAATTATCCAGAAGTATAACCCATCTAGATGGCAGCCAAGAGAACTGAGTTCCACCTGCCATCCCCCAGAGTATTGCAAGAATTCTTTCTTTTGCTTTTTTTTTTTTTTTTTAAGAGTCTCGCTCTGTTGCCCAGGCTGGAGTGCAGTGGTGCAGTCTCAGTTCACTGCAACCTCCACCTCCTGGGCTCAAGCGATTCTCCTGCCTCAGCCTCCTGAGTAGCTGGGACTACAGGCACATGCCACTACACCTGGCTAATTTTTGTATTTTTAGTGGAGATAGGGTTTCACCATGTTGCCCAGGCTGGTTTCGAACTCTTGACCTCAATTGATCCACCCGCCTCGGCCTCGCAAAGTACTGGGGTTACAGGCGTGAGCCACCGTGACTGGCAATTGTCTTTCAGTTATGTAACCAAATACATCCGTCCCACCACACATTCCACCTATGCTTGTTCAGCACCTAATATGTAAGTTCTCCTGGTCTGCTTCCTCTGCACAGTCTCATCCCTATACTATTGTATCCATCTTCTCCCTTGGTCCAGACTCCCATCACTCTCTTCCTTCTCAAACCTTTCCATTATGCCTCAAGGTTAAACGCTCTAGATCCTTCTTCAATAAAAGTTCCTCAGAGGACAACCCTTTCCCTACAGTTCTATCGAACCAAGAGTACTCTTTCTCTCACCCCATATACTTAAGGGTGAGATTTGGGGTTGATGTTCTCCCTCATCCATAGTATCATTGCTGCACTTGGTCTTAGCCAAAAGGCCACTAAGAGATACAGTATCATTTCCAGGTCATTCTCTCTTCACTCTAAGTAAAACTCCATTTGTTTGAGGCTCCTGCCATTCAGTTGACATCTATGCCATCCCTACTTACTGGTACCGTATACTCAGAACTGGATCACTTTTCCTCCTGCCCTGAAAACAATCACCATGGATTCCTGAATTCTGCCATCCATCCTATGAGGGTATTGCTGGGAAAGTTTCTAAACAGGGACTACGTTTCCCAGATGCATTTGCATCTAGCTGGGGCCATATGACTGGTTCGCATGGCTGGAATATGAGCAGAAGTCATAGGTGTCACTTCCAGGTGAAGTGCTTAAGAAGGAATCACGTGAACCTTCACGCTTTCCATCATACCTCACATCAGTGTATTACAGCAACAAGTAAGGCTGGAGTAGATGAGAGCTGGAATGCAAGGAGCCACTACACATTTTTAAAAGCCTTGGTTCCTAATTCACTGCTTTGAGGAGAGGCACCGTCAGAACCATCTAACCAGGGACATCTGCACTGGGCTATATGTGATCAAGAATTAAACTTGTTGGCTAGGCACGGTGGCTCATGCCTATAATCCCAGCACTTTGGGAGGCTGAGGCAGGCCGATCACAAGGTCAGGAGTTTGAGACTGACCAACATGGTGAAACCCCATATCTCCTAAAAATAAAAAAATTAGCTGGGCATGCTGGCACACACCTGTAATCCCAGCTACTCAGGAGGCTGAGACAGGAGAATCGCTTGAACCCAGGAAGCGGAGGTTGCAGTGAGCTGAGATCGCGCCACTGCCCTCCAGTCTGGGTGACAGAGTGAGACTCCGTCTAAAAAAATAATAATAATAATTTTTTTAAAAAGAATTAAATTTGTATTTTGTAAATCCCCTGAGAGTTGGGGTGTATTATTGCAGCACGTAGAGACTATCTTGACTAATAACTAATATAGCAGCCCCCATTAAAACTACATTTAAGGACAGGGCATGGTGGCTCACACCTATAATCCCAGCACTTTGGGAGGTTGAAGCGGGATGATCGCTTGAGCCTAGGAGTCTGAGACCAGCCTGGGCAACATAGTGGAACCCCTTCTCCACACACAAAAATTTTTCAATTAGCCAGGTGTGGTGATGCACACCTGTAGTCCTAGCTACTCAGGAGGCTGAGGCGGGAGGATTGCTTGAGCCCAGGAGGTCAAGGCTGCAGTGAGCTGTGATCATGCCACTGCATTCCATCCTGGTTGACAGGGCAAGATCCTGTCTCAAAAAAAAAAAAAAAAATTGCATTTCAGTTCAAACAGTTTACCCTCTGACCTCAACCCCCAATCCTTTAGCTATCTCATTGTTATTCACACTACTCCAGTCTCCTACTTTGTCTCACACAACCTGGCCATCTGCTGTACTGAACCCTCTGCTTTCTCCTTCTCCCTCTCTCTCACGTTTCCTCCCTTCCCTTCCTATGCAGCGTGAGCTCCATAGTTCAATTCTCTAGCACCATCTTGCCAATATCGATTTCTCTGTATCTCTATCTGTATCTCATTTTTCCCAGTATTATTTCTGCTTGCTGTTAGGGCAACTTTAAACACTCATCTTTCTGCTTTATCCATGCCTGTGTCTGAGTTGCTCAATTCCTATCTTGGAGCTGATCACTTTCAGAAAAAAATTACAGCACTTTGGGAGGCTGAGGCAGGTGATCACTTGAGGTCAACTCCAAGACCAGCCTGGCCAACATGGTGAAACCCTGTCTCTACTAAAAATACAAAAATTAGTTGGGTGTGGTAGCACACACCTGTAGTCCTAGCTACTCGGGAGGCTGAGGCAGGAGAATCGCTTGAACCCAAGAAGTGGAGGGTGCAGTGAGCCGAGATTGTACCACTGCACTCCAGCCTGGGCAACAGAGCAAGATTCCGTCTCTAAACAAACAAATAAATAAATAAATCTTAGAAAATTATGAATAGATAGAAACATCCTTCACCTAATGAAATGTAGATACAAAACATTATGGCAAACATTATATTTAATGGTAAAAATTTGAAAACTTTCACTTTGAAATCAGGAAGAAAACAAGGATGGCCCTTATCACTTCCTTTTTTTTTTTTTAGAGAGTCTCACTCTGTCGCCCGGTCTGGAGTGCAGTGGCGTGATCTTGGCGCACTGCAACCTCTGCCTCCCAGGTTCAAGCAATTCTGCTGCCTCAGCCTCCCGAGTAGCCGGGGTTACAGGTGCACGCCACCACACCCAGCTAATTTTTATATTTTTAGCAGAGACAGGGTTTCACTGTGTTGGCCAGGCTGGTCTCGAACTCCTGACCTCTGGTGTTATCACCACTTCTAGGCAACACTATTCCTGAAGATCTTTGTAATAAGAAAAAAATAATAAAAACAAATAAAAGGTATAAGGATGGGAAAGAAAAACATAAAACTGTCATATTCGCAGATGACACAACTGTTCATGTGAAACAATTAGAATTAATAAGTGAGTTTAGAAATTCTCTCGGCCAAGCACATGCCTGTAATCCCAACACTTTGGGAGGCTGAGGCAGGAAGATGGCTTGAGGCCAAGAGTTCGAGGCCAGCCTTGGCAACATAGCGAGGCTCCATCTCTACAAAAATTAAAAAACTAAAAGTTAGCCAGGCATGCTGGCACACACCTGTAGTCCTAGGTACTTGAGAGGCTGAGGCAGGAGGATCACTTGAGCCCAGGAGCTCGAGGCTGCAGTGAGCTATGATCTTCCCTGCACTGCAGCCTGGGCAACAGAGTGAGACTCTGTCTCAAAAAAAAATTCTCTCAACACAAGATCAATATACAAAAATCAATTGTCAATTATTCCTCTGTATACCAGCCAACATTTAAATAATGTAAGTTTTAAAAATACAAAATTTTCAATAGCAACAAAACATTAAATACTTAGGAATAAGTTGATATGAAAACTTCTACCTACCCACATACATGTGCCATCTTTTGACAGAGTGGTTGTTTACATGAAGCACAGACATGGAAGTCAATGATTGAACTTAACAAGCACCTCCCACTAGAAGAAGTCTGGGGACCTGAGGTAAGAGAAACATTACCTTCCAGATTGTTTATTTGGAATAACTAATCTGGCATTTTGCTATTAACAAAAACTTGATGGAAACATTTTGGATTTAAATTTGCTTTGGTAAATCAAATCCTATTTTTATATTAAATTGTATCATGGTATTTTTAAAATGCTTCATCTTAATTTCTGTGTGATCTTTTGTTGGTTCTGTGTTACTATTTTAATTTTCACTGCTGTAAATATGTGTTTGCAGATTATTAAATATGTGTTAAACATGTGAAAGCATCAAGAGTGAGTCTTTGTAAAGACGACCTAGCTCCCTTACATTAACCTCAGGTCTTTACTGAAAAATCAAGTTGTCAATGAGGACTTCCCTGGCCACCATATGGAAAAACTTAACCATCACTTTCATGAAAGCGCATATTTCTCCCTATTTTCTTTCCTTTTTTTTTTTTTTTTGAGACAGAGTCTCTCTCTGTTGCCTAGGCTGCTAAGCTGGAGGGCAGTGGCACAATCTCTGCTCACTGCAACTTCCACCTCCCAGGTTCAAGTGATTCTCCTGCCTCAGCCTCCTGAGTAGCTGGGACTACAGGCATGTGCCACCACGCCTGGCTAATTTTTGTGTTTTTAGTAGAGACGGCATTTCACCATGTTGGCCAGGCTGGTTTTGACTCCTGACCTCAAGTGATCCACCTGCCTCAGCCTCCCAAAGTGCTGGGATTACAGGCGTGAGCCACCGCACCCAGCCTCCCTCCCCTATTTTATTTAATATCATTAGCGTTTATAACTATGACACATTACATAGCCTACTTTCAAAATCTTATTTATTTTCTAGCTCCCTTACTAGAATGTAAGCTCCATGAGGGAAATTTTGTTTTGTTCACTGCATCTAATGCATTATAGGTGCTCATTAAATATTTGTGGACCAAATTAATTAATTATAGATCATATACCTATTATAAAGAGTACTTTTCTACTGTTTAAAAATCATAAGGGGGCCAGGCATGGTGGCTCACACCTGTAATCCTAACACTTTCTGAGGCCGAGGCGTGTGGATCACTTGAGCCCAGGAGTTCAAGACCAGCCTGGGCAACATGGTAAGACCCCATCTTTACAAAAATTAAAAAAAAAAAATGAGCTGGGCCTGGTGGTGCATGCCTGTAGTCCCAGCTACTCAGGAAGCTGAGGTGGGAGGATCACTTGAGCCCCGACAGCTGAGGTTGCAGTGAGCCATGATCATGCCTCTGCATTCCAGCCAGGGTGACACAGTGAGACCTTGTCTCAAAAAAGAAAAAAAAATCAAATTAAAAAATAAAAATCATAAGGAATTAAACTGGTAATTAAATCAGTTAAAACGAAACTTACCCTCCTGATTTTTCATTGAAGGACATCCAAGGGTCTGGAGTTAGGGACAGGGATAAATGATAGGTGAGGATGATATCCCCAAATCTTACAAAAGGCACCTAAATATTCTAAGATTCTGCCGAAATAACATACTCCAAAGAAGCAGTGAGCTCACTGGGTAATTAACAATCATGAAGCTTGCCTCAATTGGTATGATATGGTACAATGGTTCTCAAACTTTAGCATACATCAGAATCTCCAAAAGACCTTGTTGAAATAGATGGCTGGGTCCCACTCCCAGAGTTTCTAATTCAGCAGGTCTTGGTTGGGGCCCAAAAATTTGCACCTCAATGATACTGATATGCTGATCTGGGGACTGCGTTTCAGAGCAATTGAAATAGTAGCGTACAGTCTAGAAAGACTCTGGAGTGCCCACGCCAGGCCCTGCGTGTTCCATTCTACTACATGAGAAGCTTAAAGCTTACCACTGAAAGGGTGAATTCAGTCTGAAGTCTGAATATAATAGAAAGCAGGTACCTGCAAAGACTAGTTATGTCCTCGTGAGTAAGTCTACTCTTACTGAAGGGTGTCATTATTACGTTGTATCTTAACTCAACAGGGCAATCAGGGCTGCTTTCTTCCTGAAACGTATACCTGAAATGAAATAGAAAGCCTTCCAGTTCTTGGAGCTACACTAATTGCTACATAGTCCTTCTGATTCTAGAAGGATGAACGACACCTACATTTTAAAAAAATCAGGGAAGAAGCTCTGGGACTGTAAATTCTTAGGGAAAACACTGAAGGACTCATAAGCAAGCGTGGCATTTTCACAGGTTCTCCTGGTAAGGTTGGAGGTTGAGAAGGAAAGGGAGAATATGGGTGCTGAGTGCTTGTCTACATCCACACGATACAGAATCCGATTTGAGTTTCTCGATGTGGCTGAAAATACTAGACTGGGAAGTCCTGGGCTAAAAATTGAGTATAATGCATGAGGCTAGGGGAGATTGATTGATTGATTGATTTTGAGATGAAGTTTCCCCTTGTTGCCCAGGCTGGAGTGCAGTGGTGCAATCTCAGCTCACTGCAACCTCTGCCTCCCGAGTTCAAGCAATTCTTCTGCCTCAGCCTCCCAAGTAGCTGGGATTACAGGCGCGGCACCACGCCCGGCCAGGAGATTTGTTTTCTAAGTGACTGGGTGATTTGATCAAGTGGGCTTTCGCATGAAAAAAGATGGGAGAAGAAACAATAATGGCGGGAGAGGGGGAAGTTTTAATAATATAACAGGGAATATCAGGCAGTGATATCTTTCTGGCAGTGACACAGAAAAAGGAGCAAGAGTCAGCAGGTATCATCATTCACATTAGGAAATAAGGAAATAGGAAACAATATAAATATTCCTGCATGTCTATATACAAAAATACATAATGATACAAGGCTATTAGGTCTTTACTAGCAATGCTTTGTTGTATGATATATGCACAGCTTCCAAACATACTTAGAATATACCACATACTTTTCCAATTAAGTTCATGGACCCATGTATTAAGTAACTTGGTAGGACAAGTTTCACAGTTTATTTTTGACCTGGAAGAACCCTTCACCAAAAAATATATTTTGTATTTTCAAGTGGGGATACATCAAAAAAACAAGTCTTTTACTTATTTTTCATTAACCCAACATATTGTTTTATAAAAGTGCTACAGACCACAATGGCAAAAAGGTAGACAACGGCAAGAAATGCTAGAAGAAACAGATTTTTTGAAAAACAACGTCAGAGTTTATCGAGACATATAGTAATATTTTTAAATTAAATATAATCAAGAGTTTTAGGGATGCCACTTATGATTAAAATGTAATTATAGGATAATTCACCTACATAAAATAAAATGACCTGCTAAGAAGGGAAATAGAGGAATTTTCAGTGAGAAGGCAATATTCAACCTTTATCCCTCCCCTTACAATAACTAGTCCTGATCTGTGTCCATTGAGGCTTCTGTTCCTCAGTTCCTACTCCTGAACCTGGCCTTTTATCAAACTAAGGATGCAGTGGCCTGTATACAAGAATCCTTCAAAAATCCTTCCCTGGATGATTAGTCAGTTCTGGTAGTATGTTTTGAATTTTTGTCCCTTCCAAAACTCATGTTAAAATTCCATCTCCAGTACAGCAGCATTGAGAGGGGGAGCATTTAAGAGGTGATTGGATCATGAAGGCAGAGCCCCCATACATGGATTAATCCATTCATAGATTAGTGGATTAATGGGATAATGGATTTGTGGGTTTCATGGGAGTGGGACCGGCAGTTTTATCACAATAGGAAGAGAGACCTGAGCTATCGTGCTCTGCCCCCTTGCCATGTGATGTCCTGTGACACTTTGGGACCCTGCAGAGTCCCCACCAGGAAGATGGCCCTCACCAGATGCAACCCTTCGACCTTGGACTTCTCAGCCTCCTTGGAAAGGAATGAATTCCTTTTCCTTATAAATTACTCCATTTCAGGTGTTCTGTTAAAAGCAACAGAAAACAAACTAACACACAGTGAAAGCCTCCGCAACTCAGCACAGGTCGCTCAAGCTGTGTTCCTAGAGCTTCTGCAGCTGGCACCACCCTGCACGTGAGTCAAGCTGTTGAGTCTCTCCCCTCCTTCCTTGGAGTTTCCTTTCCGGAAAGACTGCCACAGACAGGGCAGGTATAGCAACATGAGCACACAACACACTTAGATTCTTTACAGTGACTCTAACTGAAGCCAAAGAATCTATGACAAGCCTGTTTTCTCTGAAAGTTCCTTGACAGTACAGGTCCATACAACTCTACGCACAACAAAACTCTGTCCACCTTGTGATCTCCTCCTTTGCTTTTTATACAAACATCTTCCAAACTTTTCCCAGAGGTCTGTCCGAGTCGAGCGGGAACACATGTGTTCTCTGTCCCTGGTTACTGTTTACTTCCTCTGCTGTTTCATATCACAGTATCATTAACACGAGGAGGGAACCCACAGCCAAGGCAACCAGCCAGGGGTGTACACACAGCTCAGTATCAAGTGGGCCTTCTGCTCCATTTAGTCAGACTGGGTTTTTGGCTCCAATCACACTTGTGGTTACCAGAATATAAAGGGTAAGCAACCTTCTCCTCCTCATCTTTTTTCTTATTTTTAAAATTAATTTTTTTATTTTCATTTTTACCATGTAATATATGCATGTAAAACTCCTCCTCATCTTGATGGCCTACACATATTACTCTGAATTCAGTTACGTAACATGTTACATTTTTATCTGGAATGCATTTTAACCTAAAATTTTATTACTCCAAACAATTGTCCTTCAACCTGGCTGGGGCACTGGCACTCTGATGAACGACCTCTAAACATTCCTCTCATTGTTGCAGCCCTCATTGTTAATTCATATTCCTGGGAGATTGGTAGAGCTGCCCCGCCACCACCCCAGCTATGTCCTGGGGTTGGGAACAAAAGAATCTGTGCCTGTCAGCTTCTGGAATGAAAGGTGGGGACTTGGAATTACCCTCACTCTGATGATATCCAAAAGGAATCAGCATTCTATTAAAAATGACAATGGACTTTGGGCAGACCAAAAAAAAAAAAAAAAAAGACAAATATCCACAAACATTGCTCTCAGGAACAGGTGCTACTGGAATTCTTTAATTAAAGTTATACTGTTAAATTAGCTGCAGACCTTGATGACTATTTCATCTCCTAGAATAAATGAAGAATACAGTCATACATCACTTAACAATGGGAATATGTTCTGAGAAATGCTTTGTTAGGCAATTTTGTCATTATGCAAACATCACAGAGAGCACTTACACAAACGTAGGCGGTGTAGCCTACTAGATAACTAGGCGATATGATAGAGCCTATTGCTCCCAGGCCACAAACACGCACAGCATGTTACTATAGTGAATAACGTAAGGAAATGGTAAGTATTTGTGCAATAGGAATTTTTCAGCTCCACTGTAATCTTACGGGACCACTATTGTATATGTGTTCTGTCAGTGACCAAAACATTGCTATGCAGTACATGACTGTAATTGATTATTGGAATGGAAGTAATAGTATGTAGGATATGTCTGTATCCTCACATTTCATGATATCCAGGTAAGTAACGGCAGGCATAATCAGAACTGTACCTCGCATCTGAATAAAACAATTTTCAAAAATTTCAGGCCAAATGTTGTGGCTCATACCTGTAATCCCAGCACTTTGGGAGGCTGAGGAGGGAGGATTGCTTAAGTCCAGAAGTTCGACAGAAATCTGGGCGATATAGTGAGACCCCCATCTCCTAAAAAAAAAAAAAAAAAAAAAGTAAAAAATTAGCCAGGCATGGTGGCACATGCCTGTAGTCCCAACTTCTAGGGAGGCTGAGGCAGGAAGATTGCTTCAGCCTGGGCGATCGAAGCTTCAGTGAGCTGTGATCATGCCACTGAACTCCAGCCGGGGTGTCAGAGCGAGACTCCATCCCTAAAAACAAAACAAAACAAAACACAGATTAATTCAACAAATGTATCTTGACTACTGTGTGCCAGACTGAGGATACAGCAGTAAGCAATAAGCTTCCCTCTAGAGCTTATCGTTATTGCCATCTAATCATGATAACATTTTTGTCCATAGAGTTGCCATGAGGAAGTCTCTTTGAGACTGTGCAAGAGCTGATTGATTGCAAAGCTCTATTGACTGGGAAGATGTTCATGAAGGAGGAATATTTCAAAATACGTAGAAAAAAGAAAATACCATTTTCTGAGTACATTTTGTGCTGCTATAACAGAATGCCAGAGGCTGGGTAATCTATAATAAACAGAAATTTATTGGTTCATGATTCTGGAGGGTGGGAAGTCCAAGATCAAGGAGCTGGCATCTGGCAAGGGCCTTCCTGCTGCATCATCAGATGGCAGAAGGCAAAAGGAGAGAGAGGGTGAGGGCGAGTGAGAGGGCAGGCGAGGGAGGCTGAACTCATCCTTTTATAAGGAACCCACTCCGTGACAACGGCATTATCTCATTGATGAAGGTAGTGCCCCTGTGATCCAAACTCCTGGTGGGACCAATTAGACCTCACTTTCCATCTCAACTTTTGGGATCAAGTTTCCAACACATGAACTTTGAGGGATGCATTCAAACCATAGTAACCTTGAAGGATGTTGATAGACAAAAGCTCAGACACATCCAAAGTAATTGCCTTACAAGGCTTCCTGTTTCCTTCAAATGAGAAGCTTTCAGAGAGCAAGAATGGTAGAAGAAGAGTCCTTTAAGTAGGGTGTGAAAACATACAGGATCTAAGAGGACCCAGAACCAGTGCCATGTAATAGTAGGATCAGGTATCTGCCAGTTTTAATAATCATTTTCTTTCATTGTATTTGTTTTAACAGAGTAACTTTTAAAAATACAGGCTTGTTTCATCTGTGTTTTTAAAAAGGCAGGCAGGAGATAGTTTGTATCTTGAGACCCACAGAAAGACATGGTAATGGTAATGGGGCTAAATGAAGATCCTAGGGCAAGATAAAAACCCAAGGATGTACCATCTTGACTGTTGTGTCTGTACCTTATGATCAAAACTGTTTCTGTCCCCAATTAAGCATCTTTGGAACATTTTGTATTTTGTTGATTTAGGAAAATAATATGCTTACATATTCTCAACACTCTAATGTAATTGTTTGTAAATACAACATTTGCTTTCACTAAGCTTCACTTTTTATCAAAGTTTAACCCAGTATCGCTCTTAAAGTGCTATAAAGAGCACTGCAGGGGTAAAATAGAAGGGAATAGCCATTACATCTCTAAATAATTTTCCAAGATAAATGAGACTATAATTTTGCGTATCAAAGTCATAAAATGACCTTAAAATTTTTGTCTTTGTTTCTTGTTCAGAACTATAAACACTGTTTTTCTTATGCTATTGGAAAACCAGGAGACTTAAATCAACCATACGAGATTATCAACAGTTCTAATGGTAACCATATATTTTGGCCCATGGGCCATTCTGGAATGTATGTATTTCGTGTGAAGATCCTGGATCCAAACTATAGGTGAATATATGTGTTACTGTAATAGTGTTAGCATTAGTTCTTCAAAATCTTTATTTTTTTAATTTGATGCATCCTATACATTCAATCATTGTTATTCTTGTTATTTACATATTTGCTTTTTCATTTTGTAGCAATCACATGAAACATTCTATGTGGGTAGAAGATTTTATGTTGTGTTAATTAAATTAATCAATTTACAATTACATTCTGAGGACTTTCCTGGGTTCAGTTGCCATGAAAGATCCAAATATAGGCACAGTCTCATCCTTCAAGGTATTTACAATTAAGCTGCCTGGAGAAGGAGGAGTTGGGGGAGGGATGCACATAAAAGCCAAGAAAAGTTAAATCAGAGCAAAATACAGGAGGTATTTTTCAAATATAATTATTTGCATTATTGACAGGCACAATAGTAATTCAGAGATGGGAAAGATTAATGCTATTTTGAGCAGTAAAAGAAAACTTTCTGGAGAACACAGAACATCAGTAGAATTTACATTGCCAGAAGACAGAGACAGACGCTTCCAGTGAAAGAAATCACACTAATAACGGAATGGAGCTAAACGTTAGCAAAAGGTTAGCATATTGTCTATGGCTTGTGGAGTCGCAAAGGAAGGCAGAAAGTGCTCTGAATGGGGAAGGTAGAAAACAAAGGAAGGAGACAAACTTACAGCAATTCATAATGTTTAAGTAAATTTCAGCCCATGTCCTAGAGACCTTCATTAGTGTCTTCACTAGGAAAACGGTGTGATGAAAGCATAGTTCTAGGGAAATTAGCCTGAGAATAGCAGAAAGAATGGTGCAGAAGAAAAATAGACCAGGCACGGTGGCTCACGTCTGTAATCCCAGCACTTTGAGAGGTCAAGGCGGGAGGATCACCTGAGGTTGGGAGTTCAAGACCAGCTTGACCAATATGGAGAAACTGTCTCTACTAAAATACAAAATTAGCTGGGTGTGGTGGTGCATGCCTGTAATCCCAGCTACTCAGAAGGCTGAGGCAGGAGAATCGCTTGAGCCTGGGAGCCAGAGGTTGCGGTGAGCTGAGATTGCGCCATTCATTGCACTCCAGGCTGGGCAACAAGAGGGAAACTCCATCTCAAAAAAATAAAAATAAAAGTAAAAATAAGCTCTACATGGATAATGGAGAAGAGTGACGTTAACAAGGAAAGAGGTCAAAGGAAGGCCTAGTGGCAGTAAGAATGGAAAGAAGGGAAAAAAGAGTCTAATGATGAGAGATTCTATTGATCTAACGTGGCAAGTAAAGAAGGAAACGATATAGTTTCATGTTTTCTAGGCCAGGTGATTAAAATAGTGGCATTTCCTTTGACCACAATAGGTAATGGGGTGGTTTTTCTGTGGGTGAGGTATTGAGATAAGAGTTCTGACTTTGAATTTGAGGGGACAATGAGACATCTAAGCAAAGATGTCCTATAAACAGTTAAGAATTCTAATCTGGGCCTGGAGTGGAAAGGAAGAGCTGATGATAAAAAGTTAACAATACGGATGTGGGTACCTTCTATGGGGATTCCAGGAGCATACATAAGTTAGCTGACTGATTATAAATAGAGAATGGAAGGGCTTTGGGGGACACCCACTGTTAAGGAATTTGGGGTGATGAGGAAGGGCCAGACCACTGAGTTCTTCAAATAAAAGAAAAATGAAGACAAAAACAGAAAGTTAATTTTTAAAAATGCAGTAAAACAGGATATTTAAAGGTGACTGTCACTAACAGAGAGGTCCTAAACATGTTCTAAAATCATGATAATCAATGCAGGATTTGAAAAGAGGGTGTCTCAAAACTGGTTATTTCCACTATTAGCCCCTAAGCTATTCAAAGGCAGCTTTGAAAGAAGGCTGGGAGTTCATAAGAAAGGCTAATGGAGAGTATTTCTTCCAAGAGACTTTTCCGAATGCCATGGGGACAAGAATACTTCCCCACAAGTAAGAGGGGGCTTCGGAAAACCACTCAGGGAAACTAACAGGGGCCTCCTGGTTTGGGGATGGGAGAACACGTATTATGCCTAATTCTCATCTGGAAAGTTTGAAGGTAAGAGGATGCCTACAGGTGCACTGACAATAGGACACATTAAATGGGATTTAAAAAATGACATTTTATAGTGATATGAGGTATAATCCATAAGGAAGATAAAATATTCATGAATTTTATGCACCCAACAAAAAGCCAGACAATACATGAGACTAAAACTATTAGAAACAGGGTAAGCATATGACAAAACCACAATTTTATTAGGAGACTTTAATATATCTTTCTCAGAATCTGATAGATCAAGTAGTCATAAAACAGATAAGCAAGTGGAGAATGTGAATAAAATTATTCATTAACCTAAGTCAAGAGATAAGTAAAGTGGAGTCTTGGCTTATCCAGGAATTAGGACCTAAAGTCAGTTTGTAAAAGGATATTATTGTATGTGGCCGAAATTCCTTTTGATTTCTCGTAAAAGGTGTCATGCTAGAAACTGAAATAGCATCTCTCAGTGAGTCCAGTAGAGCCAGTAGTTCCACCAACATTTCAACAGATCGCTGTTTCTTTCATTTTGTCCCAGTTCAAATACTTGATCCACATTTTAAGCCATGTGGTAGAAAAAATGGGTGCTGTTTCTCTTTTAACACTGCAATCATATTTGTTGTGTAAGATGTTCACATGTGAAAGGCTGAGCAGAACTAAGACCAGCTATGAAAAGGGAAGATTCCAGTTTCCCATCTCTCATTCACTTCAGAATAGAAGCACATTGAGTGGGTCGTGGGGAGAATCTGCTGTATCTTACAATACCTACAGAGCACACATATTCTCTTCCAGTGCCTAGGGAAACACTGTAAGTTACAATAATCTCATGGTGAACCAAAAATAAAATTTTAACAAGTGAAAGAACATCATTTTATAGGCTACAATTCAGGCTAGAAACTAAAAAATATAAATAGCATTCTATTTCTTACAATATGACAGATTTAGTGTTCAGGGGAAACCTTTCCTGTACAGTACGTTTAACACACATACACCTTTTAAATGCGTGGCCACATTGATAGGAAACTGAGGGGATTATTTATAGGCCAGGAATTCCGAAAAAGTACAGATTCATTAGATCCTATTGGAGTTCTCTAAAGACACTCTATCCCCCCTAGGGTTATCTGCATATCCCTGGTGACCTGGATCACAAGGCAACATGTAGGACAAAGGAGGACAAGTGTAAGGCCCTAGCAGAGACAGAGATTAGATCAGAGAACCTAAGGCTTTGAAGGGCAAAATCCTTAGGGAAGATGGCAAGGATACATGCCTGAATCAATCTTGGCTCCAGATTAAAATATATATATATAAAATATATATAAATATATATAAAATATATATATAAATATATATAAATATATATAAAATATATATATAAATATATATAAAATATATATAAATATATATATAATATATATATAAATATATATAAAATATATATATTATAAAATATATATATTATATATAGATATATTTATATAGATATATTTATATAGATATATTTATATATATATTTATATAAATATATTTATATAGATATATTTATATAGATATATTTATATAGATATATCTATATAGATATATCTATATAAATATATAAATATATAAAATATATATATATATATATATATATATATATTCCCTAAGAGTTTTAACTGTAAATCTACACTCAATAGATTTAAGCCTGGATTTCATATTAGCTGACTGTCCAAAAAGAATAATAATCTAGCCAAAAATTTAAAGTGGCCCCAGCTTATGAGTGCCTCCAATATGCTCAGCAGAAGCAAATGTATATACCCTCTGGAGGATTGTGCTTTAAGCTCAAGCCTCAGAAAATCCCGAAAGGAAAAGCGCCAACCAACAAAACATAAGAAAAGGAGAAACCACAAACCAGGGTCAACAGAAACAACAATCCACAAAACCAACCTACAAAGTCTTCCAATACTGGGTTTATTAGATACAGAATACAAAATATCTTAGCTTAAATGCTGAAATTTATTTATAAGAGAGCTCTGAAAGTATGATGAAAGACCAAGAAACTATCCAAGCTGACCAGAAGACCTGGAAAGAAACAGAGAAGATTTCTAAAAATGAAAAATATAATCAGCTTAACTAAAAACTCAATACACAGATTAAACAAGAGACTGCATTCATGAAAAGAAAATTAGTCAACTGAAAGAACAAATGTCCACTACAGTCCACATCATCATTTACTTCTCCAAAAAGTTCAACTTCCAAATACCTCCACCTACCACAGTGTCATTAACCGTAAATAATCACAAATGTACTTATTAGGCCCCAAAAGGGAACAAACTGAAGTCTCACAGTTTATCGCATCTATCTCCAAGTCCAAAGTCTGAATGACACCCAGGCCTCCTCTAATTTTGTCATGATCCTGCCTTCCTATTCTGTACCCTGTGGCCTTTATGGTGGCAGAGTTTACCACTACCAACACACCGTAAGGTTTTATGTAATAAAAGACTAGGGGAAATGGGAGAAAGAAAGATCAGTTCAAATAGATGACAGCTAGGTAGAAAATAAGTACAGATACTATATTCCTAGTATCTATATGTGGTCCTGAAGCTATAGTTAGTATTTTTTGTTTTCTCCATTTTCTAACCTATGTTCACTATGTCTTTAGCCAGCATTTCAGGTTTATTTCCTAGCAGAATAACCTTAATTTTCTTTCCTTTTCTTTTTTTTTTTTTTTTTTTTGAGACAGGTTCTCATTCTGTCACCCAGGCTGGAGTGCAGTGGCGTGATCTCAGCTCACTGCAACCTCCACCTCCCGGGTTCAAGAGATTCTCCTGCCTCAGCCTCCCGTGTAGCTGGGATTACAGACATGTGCCACCACGCCCGGCTAATTTTTGTGTTTTTAGTAGAGACAGGGTTTCGCCATGTTGGCCAGGCTGTCAATTTTCATTCCTAAGGAATCTGAGCTCTTAGCAATCTCTATCTGTACATTCCTGGGGCCATAAGTGAAATCGTGAAATTCCACTCCCAGTTCCATCACTTTGGTTCTTAGATTCCCATATTCTGGCTGTGGGAGAAACACCTCCAAATCTTACTCACCGACAAGAGTATTTACTTCATCCAAAGAGAATTCCCCAACCTCACAGATAACCTTTCCTGCTAGCTTTACAGCTTTATAATATAATCATCCACACCAGAGCACTTCTGCGAGTAAAATAAAGCTTTATTAACATTTACACCCAAGCAGCAGGTATATACCAAAAGTGTCCTAGGTAGCCAGTAATTATGATTACCCTCATAATAAATAGCAGCCTTAAAAGTCCATGCTACTATTCTATGAGGCTAGTGAATTACATGTATATCAGCCATTTGTCTTATTTTTATTTATTTATTTATTTATTTATTTATTTTGAGACTGAGTCTTGCTCTGTTGCCCGGACTGAAGTGCAGTGCAGTGGCGTGATTTCAGTTCACTGCAACCTCCACCTCCCGGGTTCAAGCGATTCTCATGCCTCAGCCTCCCGAGTAGCTGAGACTACAGGCACCTGCCACCACACCTGGCTAATTTTTGTATTTTTAGTATAGATGGGGTTTTGCCATGTTGGCCAGGCTGGTCTCAAACTGCTGACCTCAGGTGATCTGCCCACCTTGGCCTCCCAAAGTGCTAGGATTACAGGTGTGAGCCACCACCTCGTTACCTTCTTTTGCTTTAAAGTGAGTTCCTTGGCTAGAAGCAATCTTGTGGGGATAACATGAAAATACATATGACACTCGTTATATCCATGTGTGGTGTTGCAGGCAGAGGCTTTGTAGAAAAGGCAAATTCAAATCCCAAACATGTCACAGAAAGAATAAATCACTGTCCCCTCCATGACATAATCAACCTGTCACCAGATGGCTGTCTGATGCCTCTGGATTCATATACACAGAGAAGGCTTTGGTTGGTTGCTGCCACTACCAAATACAGGCGCACCCCAGAGATACTGTAGGTTTAGTTCCAGACCCCTGCCGTAAAGCGAGTCATGTGAATTTTTTGGTTTCCCAGTGCATACAAAACTTATGTTTACACTATACTGTAGTCTATTAAGTGTGCAACAGCATTGCACATTGTCTAAAAAATATATAACCAGCTTAATTTAAAAAATACTTTATTGCTAAAAAATGCCAACAATCATCTGCGCTTTTAGCAAGTCATAATCTTTTTGTTGATGGAGGGTCTTGCCTCAGTGTTGATGGATGCTGACTAATTGGGGTGGTGGTTGCTGATGGCTGGGGTGGCTGTGGCAGTTTCTTTTTTTTTGAGACGGAGTCTCACTCTGTCGCCCAGGCTGGAGTGCAGTGGCGCAATCTCAACTCACTGCAAGCTCTGCCTCCCGGGTTCACACCATTCTCCTGCCTCAGCCTCCCAAGTAGCTGGAACTACAGGCGTCCGCCACCATGCCCAGCTAATTTTTTTTTTTTTTTTGTATTTTTAGTAGAGACAGGGTTTCACCGTGTTAGCCAGGATGGTCTCAATCTCCTGACCTCGTGATCCGCCCACCTCGGCCTCCCAACGTGCTGGGATTACAGGCGTGAGCCACCACGCCTGGCCGGCAGTTTCTTAAAATAAGACAACAGTGAAGCTTGCTGAAACTATTCCTTCCATGAAAGATTTCAATGTAGCATGCGATGCTGTTTGGCAGCATTTTACCCACAGTGGAACTTTCAAAATTGGAGTCAATCCTCTCAAAGCTTACCACTGCTTTATCAACTGCATTTATGTAATATGATAAACACTTTGTTATTTCAACAGTATTGACAGCAACTTCACTAGGATTAGATCTCATCTCAAGAAAGCAACGCTGGGTGTGGTGGCTCATGCCTGTAATCCTAGCACTTTGGGAGTCACAGGCGGGTGGATCACTTGCGGTCAGGAGCTCGAGACCAGCCTGGCCAACATGGAGAAACCCCTTCTCTGCTAAAAATACAAAAAGTTAGCCGGGCATGGTGATGGGCGCCTGTAGTCCCAGCTACTTGGGAGGCTGAGGCAGGAGAATTGCTTGTACCTGGGAGGCAGAGGCTGCAGTGAGCCGAGATCGCACCACTGCACTCCAGCCTGGGCGACAGAGCGAGAGTCCATCAAAGAAAAAAAAAAAAGAAACCACTTTCTTTGCTCATGTATGAGAAGCAAAGTGCTATCATCCATTCAAGTTTTATCATGACATTGTGGCAATTCAGTTCCATCTTCAGGCTCCACTTCTAATTCTACTTCTCTTGCTATTTCTGCCACATGTGCAGTGATTTCCCCCACTGAAGTCTTGAATCCCTCAAAGCCATTCATGAGGGTTAGAATCAACTTCTTCCAAACTCCTGCTAATGTTGATATTTTTACCTTCTCCCATGATCATGAATGTTCTCAATGGCATCTAGAATGGTGAATACTTTCCAGGTTTTCAATTTATTTTGTCCAGATACATCAGAGGATTTACTATCCATGGCAGCTATAGCCTTATGAGATGTAATTCTTAAATAGTAAGACTTGGAAGTCAAACTTACTCATTGATCGTGGGTTGCAGAATGAATATTGTGTTAGTAGGCATGATAGGCATGAAAACAACATTGATCTTGAACACCTCCATCTGAGCTCTTGGGTGACCAGGTGCATTGTCAATGAGTAGTAATATTTTGTTTTTTGGGGGGGTTTATTTATTTATTTTTTACTTTATTTTTATTATTATTATTATTATTTATATATATATATATATATATATATATTTTTTTTTTTTTTTGAGATGGAGTCTCACTCTGTCTCCAGGCTGGAGTGCAGTGGTGCGATCTCGGCTCACTGCAACCTCCACCTCCAGGGTTCAAGCAATTCTCCTGCCTCAGCCTCCCGAGTAGCTGGAACTACAGGCATGTGCCACCATGCCCGGCTAATTTTTGTATTTTTAGTAGAGACGGGGTTTCACCATCTTGGCCAGGATGGTCTCGATCTCTTGACCTTGTGATCCGCCCACCTTGGCCTTCCAAAGTGCTGAGATTACAGGTGTGAGCCACCGCGCCTGGCCTATTTTTATTCTTTTATTTATTTATTTACTTTACTTTTTAAAATAAGAGAGAGGGTCTGGTTCTGTTGCCCAATCTGGTTTCAAACTCCTGGGCTCAAGCAATCCTTTTGCCTCGGCCTCCCAAAGTGCTGGGATTACAGGTGTGAGCCACCATGCCCGGCCAAGTAGTAATATTTTGAAAGGAATCTTTTTTTTTTTCTGAGAAGTAGGTCTCAACAGTGGGCTTAAAATAGTGAGTAAAGCATTCTGTAAACAGATATGCTGTCATCCAAGCTTTGTTATTCCACTTATAGAGCACAGGCAGAGTAGACTTACCATAATTCTGAAGGGCCCTAGAATTTTTGGAATGGTAAATGATTGCTGGCTTTAACTTAAAATCGTCAGCTACATTAGCCTCTAACAAGAAAGTCAGCCTATCCTTTGAAGCTTTGAAGCCAGGTACTGATTTCTCTTCTCTAGCTATGATAGTTCTAGGTGAGGCTGGGCATGGTGACTCACGCCTGTAATCCCAGCACTTTGGGAGGCCAAGGTGGGTGGTCGCCTGGGATCAGGAGTTCGAAACCAGCCTGACCAACACTGTGAAACCCTATCTCTACTAAAAATACAAGACTAGCCAGGTGTGGTGGCAGGCACCTGTAATCCCAGCTACCTGGGAGGCTGAGGCAGGAGACTCGCTTGAACCCAGGAGGTGGAGGTTGCAGTGAGCCAAGATCACACCATTGCACTCCAGTCTGGGCAACAAGAGCAAAATTCCATCTCAAAAAAAAAAAAAAAAAAAAAAAGTCCTAGATGGCATCTTCTTCCAACAGAAGGCTGCTTCATCCACACTGAAAATCTGTTGTGTAGTGTAGCCACCTTCATCAATCATCTTAGCTAGATCTTCTGGATCAGTGGCTGCAGCTTCTCCATCAGCACTTGCTGCTTTGCCTTGTAATTTTATGTTATGCAGATGGCTTCTTTCCTTAAACCTCATAAACCAACCTCTCCTAGCTTCAAACCTTCCTTCTGCAGCTTCTTCACCTCCCTCAGCCTTCCTAGAATTGAAGAGAGTGCTCTAAATTAGGCTTTGGTTTAAGGGATGTTGTGGGTGGTTTGATTATCTGTCCAGACCATTCAAACTTTCTCTATATCCGTAATAAGGCTGTTTCACTTTCTTACCATTCATGTATTCACTAGAGTAGCACTTTTAATTTTCCTTCAAAAACTTTGCATTCACGATGTGGCTAACTGTCGGTGCAAGCCCAGCTTTCAGCCTGTCTCATCTTTCAACATGCCTTCCTCACTAAGCTTAATCATTTCTAGCTTTTGATTTAGAGTGAGAGACATGTGCCTCTTCCATTTACTTGAACACGTAGAGGCTATTTTAAGGTTATTAATTGGTCTAACTTCAATATTGCCGTGTCTCAGGAAGTAGGGAGGCTGAGGGGAGAGATGCGGGATGGGGGTCAGTGATCAGTCAGAGCATACGTAACATTGATTAAGTCCACTATCTTATATGGTCGCAGTTCATGGTGCACCAGGACACTTTCAATAGTAACATCAGAGATCACTGACCACAGATCTTATAACAGATATAATAATAGTGAAAAAGGCTGGCACTTTGGGAGGCCAAAGTGAGAGGACAGCTTGAGGCCAGGAGTTCAAGACTCACCTGGGCAACACAGTGAGATCCCATCACTACAACAATTTTTTAAAAAATATTATCCAGGCACGGTGGCATGTGTCGGTAGTCCTAGCTACTCAGAAGGCTGAGAGGGAGGATCACTTGAGCCCAGAAGGTCAAGGCTGCAGTGAGCTGTGACTGTGCCACTGCCCTCTAGCCTGGACGACGGAGCAAGACCCTGTTAAAAAAAAAAAAATTGAAATACTGTGAGAATTACCAAAATGTGACAGACACAAAGCAAGCACATGATGTTTATAAAAATCAAAGGTTTGTGTTAATCCCGTGTTGAGCAAGCCTGTTGGTGCCATTCACAGTATCTGCCAAGCACAGTAAAGGGAAACTCAATAAAACAAGGTTTACCTGCATGCTATTTCTCCTTATCCACAGTTTCGCTTCCCATGATTCACTTACTTACAATCAACAGTGGTCCAAAACTATGAGATAGAAAATTCCAGAAGTAAACAATTCATAGATTTTAAATTGCATGCCATTCTGAGCAACATGATGAAATGTAGCACTGTCCCACCTCATCCAGCCTGGGATGTGAATGATCTCTTTGTCTAGTGTATCAGTGCTATGTGCATAACCTGCCTGATAGTCACTTAATAGCCATCCTGGCTATCAGATCCATTGTAGCGTTAAAGCAATACTGTTGTGTTCCCGTAACCCTTACTTTACTTTGTAATGGCCACAAAGTGCAAAAGTAGTGATGCTGTCATGTCGTTATAATTGTTCTATTTTATTACTAGTTATTGTTCAGCTCTTACTGTGCCTCATTTACAAATTAAACTTTATCATAGGTTTGTATGTATAGGAAAAACATAGCTATATGTAGGGTCTGGTACTATCCATGGTTTCAGGCATCTAGTGGGGGTCTTGGAACTATCCTCTGTGGATAAAGGGGGACTAGTGCATGGTATTTTGTAGTGGTGGTATCCAGGTCATCCTTGGTAAGGGAAATCCATGCTTATAAGGCCATACTAGGCACCACAGCCCCATTGTTTATGAGCCCATTGAGCAAGCATTCGAGTAGCTGGGGAAATAGGCTAACCATATGGTGCTCAGGTGGTAAAGTAAGAGCTTCCTCTCTAGTAAAAGTGTTTTGATAAACATTCACATAAAACCCCAAATTTCAGATCTACTAGTCTCATTCTAAGAATTTCATCTCCATGCTTTTCCCTAATATTTCTTCTCATCAACTCTTGTTTTTTCCAAGTCCTGGCCATGTCACCACATATTTACCCCTGCCTGTGATTATGCCTCAGGCCATCTCTCCTATTAGGAAAAGTGGGAAAATTATCGTACTTGAAGATTTTTATGCTCGGAGGCCTTTTCTTCTCCACTGTTCCTCAAGACTACATCTGGATGGAGCTATAGCGCCACAGCTGTCCACATCTAGATTCAGAGCAATCTGTAAATCTTTCTCATATTTTTTTCATCAGCGAGGAACTCCCCACATCTAGGCAAATGGGAGCTGAGTCAGCTATTCACGTGCTTATTTGTGCATTTCGGCATCCCAAGACCAGTTCTGTACTTACACTTCATGACAGAGTTCATTTGAGCACTTCTGACTTCCTGGTGTTAGAGATAAGACTAACACTCAGTTATAAGAGGCAACCCAGGTTTCATGGTTACTTGGTGTTTGGGGGTCAGAAGTTCAATTTCTGCCAATACCTAAGCCATGAGCGGTTTCTCAAGAGAACTGTTACTTGCCCAAGAGTACTTGCTTTTGCTTCAAAACTGTAGAGGCATCTGCTGATATTCCCCATCAGAACTTCCGCAGTCACACAGCTTCCTCCTCTGCCACAGACATATCAAGCACCTTTAGATCTGTTAGGTCATAAGAGTCAGATCTCAGCCCCGTTTGCATCACCTGGACCATCTAGACGGGCTTTTCACCCTGGACCTCATTCTGGCTGACTTTCAGGTCCCTCTGCATATTTGGAGAAGCACATCCAAATTATGTGCGGTACATGTTGCCTCCAAAATCCAAAGTGTGCCATAAAAAGGCATATCCCTTTCTTGTGGAAGGAAGTATAAAAAGCAGGAACTTGTCTTTTACTCTCAACAGTATATCATGTACCCCACAACTCATGGGACTTGTCTCTCTTACCTTTTTTTTTTTTTTTTTTTTTTTGGTAGGGACAAGGTCTTGCTATGTTGCCCAGCCTGGTCTTGAACTCCTTGCCTCAATCAATCCTCCCAAAGTGCTGGGATTACAGGTGTGAGCCAGCAGGCTTGGCATTGTCTCCTTTATCTTTTGTTTTTGAGACAGAGTCTTGGTCTGTGGTCCAGGCTGGAGTACAATGGCATGATCTCAGCTCAATGCAGTCCCTGCCTCCCAAGCTCAAGCAATTCTTGTGCCTCAGCCTCCTGAGTTGCTGGGATTACAGGCATGCACCACCATGCCTGGCTAATTTTTGTATTTTTAGTAGAGACGGGATTTTGCCATGTTGGCCAGGCTGGTCTCAAACTCCTGACCTCAAGCAATCCACCTGCCTCAGCCTCCCAAACTGCTGGGATTACAGGTGTGAGCCACGACACTTGGCCTTGTCTCCTTTATCTTACTAATATATCTGCAGTACCTGCTACCTCCTGCCCTCCAGGTCATGTATCATCAATATAGTGGACCAGCATGATGTTCTATGAGATGATGATGAAAACAAACTCCATGACAGCAGGATCATAGAGTGGATGTGGTCCTGAAGCAAGAAGGGAGGTGGACTACGGTATTCCCCAGGTGAAAGCAAACGGCCTCTGATCCTTTCTGCCTGTTGAGTTTCTTGCCCAGGGCCACAGAGAATGTAGTGAAACAAGACTTGAGCCTCAGTCAGTCTGATAGCAAAGCTCATGTTCTTTGCTCTGCAGATATCAGAGTGTTGAGGGATGGTGGTGAAAGCTCCCACATCATGTGTACTTTTTGAGTTTTACTGTTTTCTGTACAGTGTAATATATTTAAGTATCTGGAATTCAAAACTCATTCAGGTTGGAATAGCAGTTTGTTAAAGATTTACATGTTAGTGGTGTGGGGAGGAGGGAATAATTTGCTAAATGAATGGCTGCTTATCAGATGCTGGGGGTGGTATGGATTTGCTTCTTCGATGAGACTACATTGCGTGGGGGAGATAGCAACTACTGATTAATCTCATAATATTCTATCAGTCCCCAAAACTCATCAGTCTTCGGAACAGTTCAACCAAATAACTTAAATTGAGTTATTCTAGGTGTTGCAGGTTCCCTGGAAAGGAAACTTTGAGATGAAGGTTAGCATGCAGGAAGTTTACTGGGAAGTGTTCTGGGATCAAAACCTTTGGTGTTTCTGTCACTGATGTAGTTCTCAATGCCATGGTGAAAGGAGTATCTTATGGGTCCTATCTCAGGGAGAATGAGTGGTTCGCATCTGATCAATTCACTCCAGTACTCCCCTTTCTCTAAGTCTTTAGACTTATTTCTATACATTATAATAAAGGATTTCTTGCATCTCAACTTCATTTAATGCATTCATATCAACAATTGAATATGACCTAGAGTTATGCTTACACTTCCTTGGTCTAACACTCTCAGAATTCATTTTTTCTATACATATTCTTAGGGTATTGCTTATATAAGTTAGCAAAATTCTGCAGTTATTTTTCTGTGTAACCCTTCCTCTCCTGAGTTTGACTTTCATATTGCTCTCTAGAACTTGGTAGGATCTAAATCTGTCTAGAAACAACGTGTTTGTTGAGATGGAGCGTGATAAGAACTGGGTTATGCTTGCAACATGAACACCTCAGTAAAAGTAATATAGCTGGGCATGGTGTTGCATGCCTTCAGTACCAGCTACTCAGGAGGCTGATGGGGAGGATCATTTGAGCCCAGCACTTCAAGCTCAACATAGCAAGATCCCATCTCTAAAATAAAAAAAAGGGAATATAGAAATCATAGACCTAAATGTAAAATGCAAAACTATAAAACTCATAGAAGATAACTAACATAGGAAAAAACCTAATTAACCTCGCATATGGCTATGACTTTTTGGATAAACACCAGTGGTATGATCCATGAAATAAATCATTGAAAAGCTGGACTTCATTAAAATTAAAAACTTCTGCTCTGTGAAAGACAATGTCAAGAGAATGAGAAGACAAGCCACACACTGGAAGAAAATATTTACAAAAGATAGATCCAATAAATGATTATTATCCAGAATATACAAAGAACGCTTACAACTCGACAATAAGAAAATAACCAGATTTAAAAATGGGCAAAAGATCTGAACAGACACCTCTCCAGAGAAGATAAATGAATGACAAAAAGCATATGAAAAAATGTTCAACATGTTTATGTCATTAGAAAATGCAAATTAAAACAATAAGATACCACTACACACTTACTAGAGTGGTCAAAATCCAGAACACTGACAATATCAAATCTGACAAGGATATGGAATATCAGGAACTCTCATTCATTGCTGACAGAAATCCAAATGGTGTGGCCACTTTGGAAGACAGTTGTTTGGCAGTTTCTTACAAAACTAAACATACTCTTACTGTATGACCCAGCAGTCGTACTCATTGGTATTCACCCAAATGAGGCTGAGGTGGGAGGATTGGTTGAGCCAGGGAGGTTGAAGCTGCAGTGAGCTGTGATGGTGCCACTGCACTCTAGCCTGGGTGATAGAGTGAGAACCTGTCTCAAAAGATTAAAAAACAAACAAAAAGCAAAAATAAAGAAAATACTGTGGCCATGTGTGGTGGCTCACGCCTGTAATCCCAGCACTTTGGGAGGCCGAGGTGGGCAGATCATGAGGTCAGGAGTTTGAGACCATCCTGGCCAACATAGTGAAACCCCGTCTCTGCTAAAAATACAAAAATTAGCCGGGCATGGTGGTGTGCGCCTTTAATGCCAGCTACTTGGGAGGCTGAGGCAGGAGAATCACTTGAACCTGGGAGGCGGAGGTTGCAGTGAGGCAAGATCATGCCATTGCACTCCAGCCTGGGCAATAGAGTGAGACTCCAACTCAAAAAAAAAAAAAAAATGAAAAAGAAAAAGAAAAGAAAAGAAAATACTATGGGGTTTATAACATGTAATAAAAGTAAAATGGATGAAAACAATGGCACAAAGGATGGGAGTAAGGATTAGAAGCATAGTGTTTTAAGATTCTTATACTTAAGAATGGTATATATACAAATAGTATACCATTAAATGGTATACTATTTGCCAGAAAAATGTGATAAATTAATGATTGATATTGTATACAAACCACATTAGAAAAAGATACAAACCTATAAAAGCCAATAGGGAAGATAATGTGGAATCATTAAAAAAACTTTATTAATACAAAAAGGGACAGAAGAAAAGGAGAAAGGAACAACAAAATGATAGCAAATAGCAAGACTGTAGATTTAACTCTAACGATATCAACAATTACATTAAATACAAATGGTCTAAATATCCCAATTAAAGAACGGAGATTGTCACATTGGATAAAAATATAAGACCTAACTACAGACTGTCTACCAGTAACCTATATTAAATATGAAGACATAGATTGATTAAAAGTAAAAGGATAAAAAAAGATAAACCATGCTAATAGTAGTCAAAAGAAAGCCAGATTGGCCATATTAATAGCAGATAAAGAGGAATTCAGAACAAGGAAGGTATAAAGAGACACATTACATAATGATAAAGAAGGTGTAATAATCCTAAATGTGGATTTACCTTTAAAACAGCTTCAAAATACATGAAACAAAAACGGATAGAACTAAACAGAGAAACAGACAAACCCCTAATTGCAGTTGGAGATTTCAACATTCCTTTCTCAGAAATTGATAGGACAAGTAGAGAGAAAATCAGTAAGGATACAGAATACCTAACTGTGCTATCAACCAATTCAATCCATTTGACAACACTACATCTAACAACTTTTAAACCATAAAGTTCCAGTTGCACTTATTCCATGCTGATTCATCACAATTTCATTCTATCAAAGGTCAACTTGGCCCTCTTTTCAGTCACAATTGCCTCTACCCAAGTCTAGACCTCATTATCACACAGCTGGGTTGTTTACTACTATGTATAATTTTTCCATATGGCCCACTTACATCTAATCTATTCCAAATCACTTTACAAACTGCTATTGAATTAAATTCAAAAACAGTCATGACTCCTTTATACAAAAAGGGTAAAGTCAAAATTCCTAAGCCTTTCATTAAAGCCCTCTGGAGGACACATGTGCAGGCATGAGCACACGCATGCACACACACACACACGCACACAAAACCCCCACTACTTTCCTCTACATGCACCAAGATATTTCCTCATTATCCCTTAAACCTCACAAATTCATTCCCATTTCCAAACCTTTGCTCATCTCTCCCTACACCTGGAATGCCCTAACCCTTCATCCTTATTTAAACTCCAACCTTTAGGACTCAACACAAGCCTCTTTGCCGTGCTGTGAAAATTCCTGTGACAGGTGTCTACATCACTCATTTTTTTTTTTTTTTTTGAGACGGAGCCTCACTCTGTTGCCCAGGCTGGAGTGCAGTGGTGCGATCTCCGCTCACTGCAACCTACGCCTCCCGGTTCAAGCAATTCTCCTGCCTCAACCTCCCAAGTAGCTGGGATTATAGGCACAGACCCCCACACCTGGCTAATTTTTTGTATTTTAGTAGAGATGGGGTTTCACCATGTTGCCCAGGCTGGTCTCCAACTCCTGAGCTCAGGCAATCCTCCCACCTAGGCCTCCCAAAGTGATGGGATTACAGGTGTGAGCCACCGTGCCCAGCCTAGAATTTATAACATAGTATCTTGTATTGTTGTTTGTGGGTTGTATTTACATGCCAATTCCACAAGTTGATATAATGGTAGAGTCTACTTTGGTTTGAATCCCAGTTTTGCCACTACTAGCTATTCAGTCTAAAGAAAATTGCTTACTCTTTTTGAGCCGTTCTGTATCTGTAGAATGGGTCGATAATACCTGTCTTACAGTATTCTGAGGGGTAAATGAAGCATCTGGGTGAAAATCTCTAACTTTGCCAAGCACATAACAAATAATAAAAATAAGTTCCTTTCTTCTGTGTTCTCCCACATGTAGGTAGGTGAAATCATGTCATAAATGTTTGCTTAGCTATATCCTGCCTCATTCCAAGCAATATACTTAATAATGAGAGACATTCTGTAATATTAGAAATGATAATACAGTTTTACAGATGGAGCCCCTAATACTCAGCTTCCTGAAGGAGTTAGCCTACATCAGGTCAACATGATGGGCAGCAGGGTCAGAAAAACCTGAATGCAAATCCCAGCTCTGCTACTAACAGCTGTGTAAACTTTCTCAAGTTGCTTAACCTATCTGAGCTTCCTCATCTGAGTTTCCTCATCTAAAAGGAAGGGTTGCTGTGAAGATCAACTAAGATAATGCATGTAAGCGTTTGGCATGCCGCCTAGTACATAGCAATGCTCAATTAGTATTCATTTTCTTTTTTTGAGATGGAGTCTCACTCTGTCGCCCAGGCTGGAGTGCAGCGGCGCAATCTCAGCTCACTGCAACCTCCGCCTCCTGGGTTCAAGAGATTCTCCCGCCTCAGCCTTCCAAGTAGCTGTGACTACAGGTGCCCACCACCATGCTTGGCTAATTTTTGTATTTTTAGTAGAGAAGGGGTTTCACCATGTTGGCCAGGTCAGTCTCAAACTCCTGACCTCAGGTGATCTGCCCACCTCGGCCTCCCAAAGGCTGGGATTACAGGTGTGAGCCACCGCGCCTGCCAGTATTCATTTTCAATAAGTATTAATACTCATAAATGTTAGCTTTTTTTTATTTCTGCCAATACTTATTATTAATACCATTATTCCTGTTGCCTTGGGAACCACTATCAAAATGATGTCAGGCTGTTAGGACAGAGAGCTCTTCAGGAATCTCAGAGAAGCCTGAGCTGTACATATGGAAAAATAATCACAGCTGTTCTATAAATGTATCCATTCTGTCCTTTGTCAAGAAAATGACACCTTAACTAGGATTATATATGGTTTGATTGTTACCATAGGGACATGGAGAGCGTTTTAAAATATATTGTACTTAGTGTAATCTTTCATATTATTTTTCTGCTTTGCAGTTTCTGTAACCTAACAGCTATGTTTGCAATAGAGACATTTGGACTGATTCCCAGGTAAGGAGCAGGGCCTAACTGGACTTTAATTAGGGAATTTCTAAGACACAAATGGCAGCTAAGAAGGAAAAGCACCTCTCCCCCGTGTCTCCCAGAAGCAGCCTGTGCACTCACTTTTCAGGGCCCCCAGCTTAAATCTTATTATGAAAATTATTATTATACAGTATATAATGCAAATGAATCCTAAAACAACAACAAAAAACTTGTATGAAGTGTTCACTGCAAAGTCAATGGTTTTAATAAGTCTATATTTAGATTTTTGGGGGGCTATGAAATCTATCTTCCCAAATGACAGAAACTTGCTGTTTCCCTGAAGCCCTGGTACTTCTGCCCCCTATATGACATCCTAAAAATTGTATGTGTGTATAGTGTGTATACAGGGGCACAGCAGGAAGGAATTCCTGAGAACTGTTACTGCAGCAAAGGTCCCCTTTCGTGCCATCCCACTCAACAGCCACTGCCTTCCTATCAAACATGTCTCAGCTCCTCCTACTTGGCAGATGCCAGAATGCAGTGGTAGGGATTGGGAGGTGACAGTGGCTGTGCCCTCTGCTCTAAGCCTGGGTCAGCTTTCAACCATAGACCCTCATTCTGATGCATTTAGGAAACAGTAAAGGGATTTCCCTGGACTCAGCTCCAGTTCCCTTGGAGGGCAGAATGAAAAGTCCTAATACTGAAGTTAGGACCCCAAATGACTTTGCTACTCTGTTTTGGGCCTGGTGTTTGGAATTTGGGTGTTTGGGTTTTGTTTGATGGGTTTTTTTTGCGGGGGAGGGGAGAGGATTGTTAAATAAGGGCGTAAGAAAAACAATTAAGTTACTCATGGCCCTACTGTAAATATGACTGACTCCTGGAGTTTTTGTATTAATGGAATGTTAATAGTGTGAATAATCTGCAAATGAAGTCAAGAGTTGTTTCTACATAACTTTGGGAAACATGCAGAACCTTTTCCTAGTGACTTTTCCTCATGGGGTTGGTATGTTTGATTTAGGTGAATATTAAGGTCATGGGGTTGGTATGTTTGATTTAGGTGAATATTAAGGTATATACCCACCCAAGTACCCACCAACCGAAGAAGGAGTCAAGTGAGTTAGCCAGGAGAAAGAGCAAAGGAGGAGGATCTCACTCACCTGCCCCGCTCTCACCTGCCAGCAGCTAGAGTCCAGCAGCCAGGGCATATGAGCACAGCATACAGGATAGTCTGGTTAGTGACTGTAGGTTAGCCTCTGTTAACACCTGGGCCCTGAAGGGTAGCAGAGGCAGACAAGGGCTGGCTGGTGGTTGATATTTTCTTAATTGAGTCCTTTTCTAGAGCAGCGACTGGAGATGAGTTTGTAGAAGGCAAAGAGCTCGGCACTTCCTTGCTCCTAGTCCAGCACTCAACCCCACCACTTGCCCAGTGTCTCCATTCTGCTCTCTCTCTGGAATTGCCATCCTTTAACCAGCAGACTCACCCAGATCTTCAACCATCCTCTGAGCCCTCCCTCTCTCTCCTTGGGGAAACCAGACTCTCCCCCGAGGACACTGCTCCACCTTCTGGCCTCTCGAGTGGTGCTCTTTTCTTTCACCTGCCATGTACCTCAGGGGGCCCTATTACCAATTCCAGATATTATTTATCCTCGTTCTTGTAACAAAACCAAAAAAATAAACACAAAACCTACCCGATCCTTTGAGGCTCATGGCGTCCGCTGCAGCCCCAGCTGTCTGTCCTCATCACCATGTCCTCCCCACAGTCTGCTGCATTCATTCTCAACTTTGGCCCCGTCACACTCACACTGTTTTCCTCTCCACGTCAAGCCCCACCATCAGTGTTCGCATCCAGCATCCAAAATCGTGGCCTTACCACATCCTTGGTGACCTCCCTCTACTGCACTTCAGCCATCCACTCCCATAGTTACACCTTCCACACTGTCATTACTTGTAACTTCTCTGCTTCCTAAAGCATCAATCCAGACATCCCATTCTCTGATCACGACCTCCTGTCCTTCCAGCTTGTTAATCCATGACACCCACCGCAACCCCCCTTCACCCTTACTGGAACCTCCACCTCTACTTCCAATCTCTCTTTTTTTACTTTGCATTTCCTTACATTTCAAAGTCTATTATTTCAACAACACTTACCAGTACACCCTCACCCCTCTGGGATTTGTTACTCCCTCTGGCAAATCCCCAACTACCTACTTTTTCTGTGACTACACCTGAGCAGCATTCTCTGTAATAGCGATTTCAGATTGTATCTAATTAGTTTCCTCCTCAAACCTGCTTTCCTTAATCATCATCAGATGAGCTTGTTTCCACCCTCACAAAGAAATTAGAAACCATCAGACAGGAACGCCCTCTATTCCAGATTGCAAACATAAAAATCTACTAACATCTACATCCATCCTCTCCTCTTTCCGTCCTGTTACAACAAAGGCAATATTATTCCTCCTTTTTAAATATAATTCTTCCACCTATGCTTTGCACACTATCTGTTCCTCTCCACTTACTGAGGAAACTTTCAAATGAATTATTCCTTCTCTCTTCTGTATATTCAACTTTCCCTTTCAACTAGATCCTTCTAATAGGTTTTTAGTGACCCTCAAGTTTCTCCGTTGCAGGACAAAACTTCTCAAAAGTATTGTCTACACTCACAGTCTCCATTTCCCTGTGTCCAGCCCTCTTTCTCCGATCCATCCAGTCGGGTTTCTATCTCATCACTCTGCCGATTAGTTCTCATTACAATAGCTTTGGCCTTCATGGAGCTAATAGATATTTTCCAGTCCTCATCTTATTAGATCTTTCTTCAGCGTTGACTCTACCTTTGGCTGTTGTATCACACTGTGGGTTTTCCCAAACTTCTGTAGCCACTGCCTCTCTCTCCCTAGTAAAGAAAGCCTCACCCTCCTTTAGCAGCCTTTAAATGTTGGCCTCCCCTGAGGCTCAGTCCTGTCCTGAGCTTCCCACTCTGGCAAGCTCATCCACAATCATGACTTGAGTTAGCATCTATATACACATGGCTCCCAAATAATATCTCTAGAACAGTCCAAAGCCATACATCCTACTGTCTACTTAACTTCTTCTCTTAGGTGTCTCAAAGACTAGTCAAACTGGACATGTCCAAAAGTGAACTCATGATCTTATCACACGCTCCCCTATTCCATTATTTAATCTACCTTAAAACTGATCCGTCAGGGCAATTACATATAGCCATATGGAAGGAAGATAACCTTTATTCCTTCATATTTCTCAAACCCCACATCTTAATAATCACCAAGATTGATCCAATATAACTTCTACATGTATCTTAGATATATCCGCTTCTCTCCATGTCTTCGGCCATTAATTTTGTGAAGACTCTCATCGTAGCTTACCTGGATTATTCAAATACTTCATAACTGCCTTTTCTACCTTCACACTCATGCTTTGCTTTCATCCATTCTTCACACTCCACAATCATCCTTGTAAAATGTCAATCCTATATCATCCCTCTGAAGCTCTCTCCTGCCTTAGGCTAAAACCCACTCTCTAGCTTGACTTAAGCAGTTTTTCTCATCTGGCCCTGCCCACCTATCAATCCTCATCTCCAACCACTCCCCTTGGCACCTGAGCTGCTGTCATACTGAAGGAGCTGCAGTTCCAGAATGTCTAGGAGTGGTCCTGAGGTGTTACCACATTTCCATGCCTTCTCATACCCTTCTCCCTTTGTCTGAAACACTGTTCCCACCTTGGTCTATTCCTCCACTCTTAGGCATTTTTATCTAGCTAACTCCTACTCCCACTCATACTCATACCAAGCTAACTCCTGCCCAGGCTCAGTTCAGACATCCCCTCCACTGGAAGGCCTTCCATGATGTGCGGCTCCCACAGAACTTCATTTCTAGCTGGGTGCAGTGGCTCACGCCTGTAATCCCTTTTGGCACTTTGGGAGGCCAAGGCCGGCAAATCACTTGAGGTCAGGAGTTCGAGACCAGCCTGGCCAACATGGTGAAACCCCGTCTCTACTAAAAATACAAAAATTAGCTGGGTGTGGTGGTGCCCTCCTGTAATCCCAGCTGCTTGGGAGGCTGAAGCAGGAGAATGGTTTGAACCCAGGAGCCAGGGCTTCCAGTGAGCCATTGCCCTCCAGGCTGGGTGACAGAGGGAGACTCCATCTCAAAAAAAAAAAAAACCAACTTCATTTCCTCCTCCCATTGCATCACTGCATTGATCACCTTGTCTATTTTCCTCCCTGTCAGCCTCAAACACTAAAAGGTAAACACTGTGAGGGTGGACAGTGTGTCTTATTCACCTTTGCTCTCTGTCAATGGCATAGTAGCTAGCTATTCAAAAAGTGTTTAAATAAATTAACAGCCAAAGTGTGAACAATGACTTCTAATGCCTTTTTTTTTTTTTTCTGATTTCAGTCCAAGTGTCTACCTGGTAGCTTCTTTCCTCTTCGTCCTGATGCTGCTCTTCTTCACTATTCTTGTTTTGAGCTACTTTCGGTACATGAGGATTTATAGACGATATATTTATGAACCACTTCACAAACCTCAAAGAAAACGTAAGAAGAATTAGGAAAACTGAAAGTTTGTTTATTACAGATATATGCATATAGAGAAACAGTGTATTACATAGTGATATTGAGAGTGTGTGTTTGACCAAGAAATACTAAATATAAGCTCGTAGTAGGCATCACCAAATTCAAGATCTGAAAAATATTCTTGAACTATCTCCAAAATAGAAATGTTTTCATATATATTGTTATTAAATTAATCCTTTGTTTGCCTTCATTTTAAAGATACTCTATGTACTCTCACATGGCATGAAAAAATAAACTAAATTTGACTATTACAATCCTTTGTAAGAATGAAAGTGAATTTTTGAAAATATATCTATGTGTCAAGTATCATTTTGCATGAAACTTTTCACATGAAACCTTATATGACTGTAGTTAATTTATATATAAAGGATTTAATAAAGGTGTGTGGATTTAAATAACCTGCCCTAAACAGATTTTTTTCTACTGGTAAATTAACAGATGAAATGTAAAATATATTAAAAATGAGCAGCTGATGTTCTCAATTTTATTTTATTTTATTTTGAGACAGGGTCTTGCTGTGTTGCCCAGGCTGGTCTTGAACTCCTGGGCTCAAGTGATCCTCCAGCCTTTCATGAGGTTACAGGCATGAGCCTGTAGAATTTGGAGCAGGCTCTAAATTTTAATTCTAAGTTTTACATTTTGACTTTGATGCTCAAAACAAGCTTCTTAATTTGTCCAAATATTACCACAGCCTTCTAAATAACTAGTATTTGGATGTATCAGTCCGGGTTCAACCAGAGCAGCAGAACCAGAGGGGGGGGTGCGTGGGTGAGTGTGTGTGGGTGCATGTGTGTGTTGTGTGCGCCAGCGCGCGCTTACTCTCCTCTGAAGAGATATATTTGAAAAGAATTGGATTGTGTGATCGTGGAGCCTGGCTAAACAAGTCTGAAATCCACAGTGCAGGCAATCAAGAATGGAAGATCACAAGCAAGATGAAATTCCACGGGCACTGATCAAAGCTGCTGTCCACAAAGAATTGCTCATGTCACCAAAATCAAGAATAGGACAGAGATACCTGCTGGTCATCGCTGTTTTGAAAGTTCTGACGTCACAGGAGAAAAATAAAATAAACAGTACAAATGCTGGGAAAAAAGAGACAAAATCCTCTCTTTAAATAATATTATGTGCTAAGAAAGTCCAAAATTCACAACAAGTTTTACCAGAATAACAGAATTTGATGGCTCTATACTAGACAAATATTTACAAATCAATACTTTCTCTATAACAGTTACAATCTGTTAGCAATAGAAATAATCTATTCATTGCAGTGACAAATTATATAAATTTAATATGAGAAGAACATGACCTATATGAAGAAAACTTTAAAATATTTAATGAAAGAGGTGAAACAAGATCTGAAACTAGATAGGGGGAGAAAAGACAAACTACCCAATAGAAAATGAGCAAAGTTGCAGTCATCCCACAAAATAGCATATCCAAACAGCCAATAAACATATTTAAAACAACTATTTTTTTAGTGTTTATTATATGCCAGGATCTTTTCTAATAACCAAACCTCCTCAATAACCCTATGAAACAAGAACTATTATTATCCCATTATAGAGATGATGAGGAAACTGGCACATAGAGGGTAAATAAATCTACTAAGCGCATATCATTGGTACGTGATGAAACTGGAATTCACACTCAGGCAGACTGGCTTCAAAATCAGGTAATTATCCACTAAGGAAACTCAACCTTGGCTGGCAGTCGGAAAGATACAAACCAAAGTCACGGTGTGGCAGCATTTTTCACCTGACGGCAAAAACTCCAAAGGGTGATAATACTTGAGAAGGAATGGGGGTCAGGGATGGGAAGGAAATTATCTTGCAGTTCTGAAGGAAATGTAAATCGCTGTAGTTTTTTTTTAAGCAATCTGGCAAAATCTGTTAAAATTAAAAATACAGACTCTCTTGGACCCAGCAACCCCACTGTTAGGAATCGTTCCACACAGTGGGATGGGGAGGACCAGTATATCAGGATATGTGTATATGTGTGGGTGTAGATGGATGGATGAATAGATAGAGATGCTATACATATAGATAGATACAGATATATAGAGAGATGGCATCATTAGTTACTGTGGCAAAACTCTAGAAAGAGAATTAACACCTAGCAACAGGTGAACAGGGAGTGGTTGAATAAATGTTTGATTGTACGTTGACCACAAAGTCTGTGCTAAGTGACTTAGAAGGTTTTTAACAAGGTTTTGTTAAATGAGAAAAGCAAGCTGCAGGGAAGCATCTATAGTCTGATCCTATTTTTATGCAAACAAAATAAATGTTGTGTGATTGAGAACATGGAGGAAAGCATGGCAGTGATATGGACGGGGGACAGGGAAGTGCTGGGTAGAGAAAGGCAGGTCCCTGGCTAGGGATCCGCCCTCAGGCCTGTGCCCACGGACCTAGGTGAGGATAGGCACTCCTGCCTTCACACCCAAATGTTGTATTTCCCAAGAACAGCCTGGCCTGCCACGACCCCATCCTGTGCCTATAAAAACCCCAAGACCCTAGTGGGCAGAGACAACAAGCGGCTGGACGTCGAGAGGAACACACATTAGCGAAAGAACACACAGGCGGCTGGACACCGAGAGAAGCACATGGGCTGGAGAGCACAGCCGGCAGGCCATTGATCAGCGGAACCACGCGGAGTTTGGGGGTTTGGCCGGGACGGTGGGAGGAGAGACTGGCTGCCAAGTGCCCGACTCCAGGGGAAAACCATCTCCCTTCTGGCTCCCCCATCTGCTGAGAGCTATTTCCACTCAATAAAACCTTGCATTCATTCTTCAATCAAGCCCACGTGTGATCTGATTCTTCGGGTACACTAAGGCAAGAAACCCAAGATACAGAAAGCCTCTGTCCTTGCAATAAGGCAAGGGCCTCATTGAGCTGATTAACACATGCTGCTATGGACAGCTCAACTGAACGAACACCCTGTAACACACACCCACTGGGGCTTCGGCTGTAAACATTCGCCCTTAGACATTGCCCGGGGTCGGAGCCCCACAACCTGCCCGTCTGCATGCTCTCCCAGAGGTGTGAGCGGCAGAGAACCAAAGAAGCAAGCCACACGCCTATCGCATGCCCTGCCAGGGGGATAAGAGAACCTGCCCCGTTTCAGCAGTATACGTACCATTGTGTGTGCAGGCATGCACGTGTGTGTACACGACAGGGGGCGTGGGGCTGTATCAAGAGATGGAGATGGAGAGAGAGAGAAACAAGGCCCTCCAAACTGGGGTGAAGGGGAACAATAGAAAAGCAGCCTGGAAAATGTTCTTTCTATGTAAACCAATATGTATGCACGTAAAGACAAAGGAAGTCACCAAACTTCAAATGATGTCATTTTTTGAGGAAAATATTTTTTAATTGACATAATAATTGTCCATATTTATGGGGTACATAGTGCTGGTTTTATACATATAAAGTATAGTAACCAGATCAGGTAATTAGCACATCCATTATCTCAAACGTTTGTCATTTCTTTGTGTTGGGAACATTCAATATCCTCCTTCTAGCTATTTGAAACTCTGTATCATTATTAACTAACGGTCATCCTACAGTGCTATAGAACAGGAGAACTTCTTCCTTTTATCTAGCTGTAATTTGTATCCTTTAACACAGGGGTCCCCAACCCCCACCAGAGCATTACCGCCTGAGCTCCAACTCCTGTCGGATCAGTGGCATTAGATTCTCGTAGGAGTGCGAACCCTATTGTGAACTGCACGTGCAAGGAATGGAGGTTCCAAACTCCACATGAGAATCTAATGCCTGATGATCTGTGGTGGAACAGTTTCATCCTGAAACCATTCCCGCTCCCCACCTTCCCCATGCCCTGTCCATGGAAAACTTGTCTTCCACAAAACCAGTCACTGGTGCCAAAAAGGTGGGGGACCACTGCTTTAACAAATCACTCCCTGTCCTTCCCTTCCCCCTAACAAAATGATGTAATTTTGGATGCTATTTGCTTTCTTCCTACTTCCCACCACATTGTACTTAAATGTTTTAATTAATCATAAAAAGTAAAGCTGCTCTTACTGTGAGCAAAGAGCTGGGAAATGAAGAAGTGGAGGCAAGTACAGACAACTCTTTCAAGAAGTTCCCCCCACCTCACTTTTTTTTTTTTTTTTTTTTTTGACAAGGAGCAAAGAAATGGCAGGCACCTGAGCACAAGTGAGGTCAGGAAGAGGTTACTGAATATGGGTGGAAATAATCCAGTAGCTAGGAGAAACTGATGATACAGGAGGAAAGAGGTAATCGCTGGATCAAAATCCTCGAGTCAGCAAGAGAGAATTAGATCTTGTGCTGAAAACTAAGAATTGAATATTTCGTGAAAGTTCATTACTCATGAACTCTGGCTTCCCTCCTGTCACAGTGGTAAGTAGGCTCGCAGGAAGATCAGTGGTTCCTGGAGGCCATGAGATTGTCCCTCACAAGTCTCCCACTGCAGGAGTGTAATTGACCCAGAGCATCAGCTGCTGCCCTCTGAAACTCATCACCACATTTGCACCAAGCCTGCAGCCCCTCAGGCTGTTCCCCACCTGTGACCGAGTGCAGTGAGGAAACTAAGGAAGACCCAGTGCTGGTAGACACAGGACTCTTATCAGCCTGGCTCAAGGACTCCCGAAGGTGTTACCAAACCTTCCTTAGATTGCACAGCAGTTTAGGCAACTCTATCCAATCTCAATCTGCACCATTTCTCTCCCGCGCTCTCTCTCTGGTAAGTCTCTCAACTTCCACAGCTCTTTATTTCCTTTCACACAAGTATTTCCCTGCATGAAATCCTTGCACATTGAATCCCATGTTAGTAACTGTTTCTCAGAGGACCTGGATTAGCACAAGTCATAAGTGAGCGGTCTGAGAAATCAGGCAGTCAGATGGTAATTTGGGACTGGCTCACCCAGCACCCAGAAGGCAGACAGGAAGCCATCCTAAGGGATATGTGGTCAGCGATAGTCCTGGGCTGTAGGTGGTGGTTCAGTTTTTAATGTTTTCATTGATAGTGACCCGAGGAAATGTCCTGGTGGAGGGGAAAGCTATGGCAGGTGCAATGGTAAAGGGATTTGAAAAACATGGGGATCACAAAGACATGATTGAGTTATACTAATGACCTGCACAAAGTGGAGACCGAGAGCCATAGCAGCTAATGGAGATAAGAATAAAAAGCAGTGTCTCTTATAAAGAGGTCATCGTCACCAATAGTAAAAAGGCAGACACAATTGAACACTAAGCTGAAGACCTGGGAGTCACAGGGCTCCAGAAATGTTTGCACACAGCTACTTTAGGTCTGTTACTGGGCCGTTGAGGCCCTGGTAGAGAAAACTTTTGATCCTAAAAACTAGGACAGGAAAATCTGGATGGATGCCTCTGAAGGTGTTGAGCTCTGCAACCTCCACCCCTCCCACCCGCCTCTGGGCACGCAGAGATGGCCCACTGCTCCCTATTAAGGGTTAGCCCTTTTGCTGTACTACAAGATGCTGCAGAAGCCTCGGCCTCACAGGGCAACAGGTGCCCCCCGACCTACAAGGCTGTTGGTTAATGTCTACAATAATAATAACAAACAAGAATGAAAGAAGAGGCTGAGGGACATTGCCCCAGTAAAAAGTCATGGTCCCTTGCTCAGTCCCGAGACCCAGAGTACATTTTCAGACCCAGAACCCATTGACTGAAGAGGCGGCCAGGTTCCCAGGAAGAAGGATCCTGCAACACTGTGGCAAGTATTATATATACCATGACAATTCCCCCAGAGACCTGTGGCTGTTTACTCAGGTGACTTTCCTGGGGAAAGAGGAATAAGCAGACATTTTGAGGACTATTACACACAGGTCTCAGTTGACATTAATACCCAGAGACCCAAAGTGTCATCAAGCCTCCCCTTTAGAGTGAGGGCCTATGAGAGCCACAGTGGCTCCACCCACCCCGGGGCCTCTCCCAGTCTCCAAAGCACATACTTAGAATTATATACTTGGCCGTGGGAGTAACGCCCACATCGAGGCCCTTGGTTTGTGAAGCAGGAGCAATCAGAGTGGGAAAGGCCAAATAGAAACCTCTGAAACTGGCCCCTCCACAAACCCCGACAAAGTGAGAAAACTGTTATTCTGGCGGGTTGCAGGGGGAGGCAGATATTATTACCATCATTAAAGACCTAAAAGATGCAGGGTTGGTGGTCCCTGTTGTATCTTTGTTTAATCGCCAGTCTGCAGAAAACAGATGGATCCTAGAGAATGACTGTTGACTCCCGCAGACTCAACCAGGTAATAGCACCAGTTGCAGCTGGTGTGCCAGATATGGTGTCACTGCTAGGGCGGATTCATCAGACCTTGGGTATACGGCATGCAACTACTGACTCTGCAAATCTGTTCTTTTCCATCCCAGTGAGAAAAGAGGATGAGAAACTGTTCACATTCACATCAACAACAATATTCAATGATCTACCTATTCTATGGAATTTCTAAGTAGATATCCTCATTTAGATAACTAACAAAGCAAGTTCATGTCTGGTCTGATCGCGGTAGAACAGATGCCATGGTAGACTAGATGCCTGGGTGCCATGTTGTTGTGGCATCAATGTTGTACCCATTAAGAATGGAAAAGGCACTAGGGAAGCTGACTGCCCAAGTTTCAACAAGGATGACCTCCATCTTGTCACCAATAGGGGATCATGTTCTTGGAGACGAGGGAGGCACAGAATTGAGAAGTGAGCTATGTTGAACCCTTACCACCTATCTAGGGAAAGTTATTTGTCTTGCCTGAAATATAACCTCCAGATATAGACTAGCAAAGCATTATCAAAAACCTAGCCAATCACATTTCACTTTCATTTGAACAACCTGGTACAATTACCAATGGCTTCAAAAGTCAAGTATATCAATTCCAATTATGCATAACTTCATAACTAAAGACGTCTAAGACAAAGAGCACCATTGTCCCCTGAATTGTCTAACTAGGCTATCTTCTCAGGGACCTGGTCATTTTGAAGTGGAAAATAAACAGTTTCAAGATCTACTGGAGAATTCATATGCCCATCTTCTAACACTGCACTGTATATCCAAATCTTGCAGTAAGTATAGTCAACCAATAACAACTGATCTAACAGAGGATGGGGCATGGGGAGTAGGGTGGGGGGAGCTGAGCATGACCTCTCAAATATTTCTCATGGTGGAGCAGACAGGAAACCAGCAGGGGTCTGGAACACATAAGCCATTCTTCACTCTGGCTACCACCTCAGTGGAGGTGACAGAGTTTTAGATAGCCATCTGTGGTAGCCAGCTTCCAGGATGGGCTCCAGTGATCCATGTATTCACACCCTTGTGCAGTATCACCTCATATTGCTCCAGAGTTGGTCAGTATGATCAACAGAATATAGCAAAAGTAAGGGTAGGTCACTTCTGAGACCAGGTTATAAAACACTGCAGCTTTCTTGTTGATGACTCTCCCATTCTGTTTTGGATCAATTGCTCTGGGAGGAACAGCTACCATGTCATAAGTAGCCCTACAGACAGGCCCATGTGGTGATAAACTAAAGCCTCCTGCCAGCTGATCTGTCAGTGAGCTTGGAAGCAGATCCTCAGGCCCCAGTCAAGCCATCAGATGACTGCAGCTCCACCAGAGACTCAAAGCCAGAAACACCAACCTAAACCGCTCTTGGATTCCTGACCTTCAGAAACTGTTTTAAGCTGCTACGTTTTGGGGTAATTTGGAACAGAACAATAAATAAAACACAGACTCAGTTCATCTCTACAACACAGAGAGCAATAAGCTTTAAAATTAATTTTCCTTTATAATGGTTTGGGCAGCTTAGATCTCTCCCAGGCCACCTAAGAAATAGTGATTTTCTATGCTTTGCTTTCTGTTGCCGGGGCCTCTCTATCTAGGGAGGGATATTGGTGGGAGACTGGAAGGCAGGAGGAGGAGGGACTTCCTGTTTTCTACCTTCCGGTCAGCAGGAATGTAGGCAGGCTTCTTCATCTAGCAGCAGTAGCGCTTGATTTCAGCAGCGGTGGATAATTCCTAGCTCGAAGTTTTTAAAACTTTCCAGGGCCGATGTCATTGTGCCCCTTTAGAAATACCAGAGACCAGCAGTTCTCCTCTTCAGGGTTTGCAATTCCAGCTTAATAGGGCTCTCCTGCAAGCTTCAAAAATCTTTCAATTCTGACCTCTTTATTCCCCCAGACCTAAGTGTCCTAGCTGTTTCTAGCTTTCTGACACCTCAGTGTTCCCTTTTTGTTTCAGCCCTCTAATACCCAATTTACAATTCTGTATACTAAATTCTCTTTGTTCATCCGTTTCCTGACAACCACCTCAAATAAGTCTGCATGTTATGTTCTACTACTGTCTCCTTCAATTTAAATTATAAAATTATGAGTGAATATTTATATTCTATTGTATATTATGTAATAGAATAATTCTATATATAAGAATTTATATTATATATTTTATTATAGGATATATGTAACTATATTCTTTTCTTTCACTGGATTATAAGCTTCATGAGGGTAGGGTCATGTCTGTTCTATCATAGTGAATTAGTGATACAGATATATAATACATAATATATATAAATAAAATGTAATATATAATACAGATTATATATTATAATATGTAATATAAGAATATTATTATATAAGTATATTTTTGGCCAGGCGCAGTGACTCACACCTGTAATCCCAGCACTTTTGGAGGCCTGGAGGCCAAGGCAGGGGGATCACCTGAGGTCGGGAGCTCGAGACTAGCCTGACCAACATGGAGAAACCCGGTCTCTACCAAAAATACAAAAAAAATTAGCCGGGCGTGGTGGCAGGCACCTGTAATCCCAGCTACTTGGGAGGTTGAGGCAGAAGAATTGCTTGAACCCGAGAGTCGGAGGTTGTGGTGAGCCAAGATTGCACCACTACACTCCAGCCTGGGCAACAAGAGTGAAACTCCATCTCAAAAAAAAAAAAAAAAGAAGAATATATTTTTATATTACATTTATTTTATATATATGTAAGAATATATATATTCTTCTCTGTGTTTCACTGGATTGTAAGCTTCATGAGAGTAGGATCATGTCTGTTCTATCACAGGTGAATTAGTGACGCAGAGGCTGACACATCAAAGGTACTCATTTAACACTTGTTCAATGAATGAAGGATGGATGATTCATTATTGATGGATCAATACCTGAATTACATGAGCAGCATAACTCATTCCATCATTAGATGATGAATTCTATTTTGTACCTGATAAATTCAAAGTAACCATGGGCCATCCTGTGTGGTAGGGCAGAATCCCAGCCCCCCCGGGAGATGTTCACATCCTAATCTCCAGAATCTGTGGCTGTTGCCTTTCATAGGAAGAAAGGACTTAGCAGGTGTGATTAAGGATCTTGAGATGGAGGGAGACTCCTCAGTTATCAGGTGGGCCCAATCTAATCACAAGGCTCTTCATAAGTAAGAAGGAGAAATAAGGGAGTCAGAGAAGACATGATGATGGAAATGGCGTGTGGGGTGGGGGGTGGGCACTGGAGTGACGGGGCCATGAGCCATGAGCCAAGGAATGAGGGCAGCCTCTAGAACCTGGGAAAGCAAGGAAGCAGATTGTCCCCTAGAGTCTCCAGAAGGAACACAGCCCTTGATGTTAACCCAGGGAGACCCATTTTGGACTTCTGATCTCTAGAACTATAAGAAAATAAGTTTGTGTTATTTTAAACCACTAAGTTTGTGGCAATTTGCAGCCAAGGGAAACCAACACATCCTGTTAGAGAAGTCCAAGAGGCTGTAGGTTATACTGGCCTAGCACTCTGGAGAGAGAAGAGCACCGAAGATGGAGACATGCGGCTCTTCAGTATACATGCAACAGTTACAGCTGAGAGTGGATGAGATCACAAAGGGCAAAGGGAGTGTGTACAGTAAGAGTTAAAGTGAATCTATGGGGACTGCAGCCAGGACTAAATAAGGTGCAAATGCACAGTGCCTTTTCCCCACCTTTCACAGGAAAAAGGGCTTAGCAGATGTGATTACGTAGTTTGTAATTGCTTAAGGTGGGGAGGAACACCATGGGAGGAAAGAGAAGCAAGGCAGCTGATGCACCAAAAACAGGTTTTAGAACTTTGTCAACAACCTTCCAGAGGACAGTCAAGTAATGATGTGCACAGCATTTACTGTCCCCCAACACTACCTGACAAACCATATTTTCCAAGTTTACTTATTTCCTCTATTTTACATCACCTTCTGTCTCTCCAAACTCCCTATGCCCCTCTCCTCACGTCTTACTCTTTGAAGACATTCTTGCCTCATAATTCACTGAGAAAGTAAAAGTAAATCAGGAATAAACACCCTCATTTCCTACACTCCCGTATTTCTAACCTGCCTACCCGTCTCCGTGCCTTCTATGCCGTAACTGTGCACCTGCATCTGCCTTCTATGCCATCACTACAGATGAAGCATCCCCCCTACTAAACAGCAACCATTAACTTGTGTCCTGGATCCCTCTCCCTTCTTTGCCCTTGCAAATCTTTCCCTCTCCTATATCAATTTTTCTCCCTTTACATGCAAGTATGCCTCAGCATCTCCCATCTTCAAAATGCCCTCCATTGACCACACCGCCTTATCCAGCTGTTGCCCCCAAGTTAAGTTGTCTCCCTTTTGTCACCTTACATTTGCTTCTCAAACTGTTAAAGCAGTTATTTAAATCTCACTCCTCCCAGAGACCGCTCACATCAAAGCTACCAGTGATTTCTATATTGCTGAATCCAATAGTCTTGACATCAATGTTATCATGTTCTTTCTGATTTTCCTCCTGCCTCCGTGCTTCCTCTTCATACTTTACTTGACCTCTACATGGTGAAGGGTCCTAGAGCTTTGTTCTTGGCCCACTTCTTTTTAGCTACACATATTCCTAGGTCATCCAACCAAGCCCCAAGTCTATAAATGGCCATGACTCCAGTTTATTCAAATGTCTACTACTTGGCAGTCATGGATGTCTAAAAGGCATCTCAAACTTAGCATGACCAAACCATAGCTCTTGATTTCCCTACCCCCAGCCTGCTCCTCCCCAAAATGTTTCACATCTTAGAAGTGCCAGGACTATCCACTCAGTTCCCCAAGTCAAAAATCTAGAAGTTATTCTCGAATCCTCTCTCCCTAACCAACTCAACATCTAACCCATTAGCAAGTTCCACAGACTTTACTCCAAAATATTTAAACTCTAATTATTTCGGTCTCCACCACTATCAGCCACAACGAAGCCACTTGCTGGCATGCACTTCTGGAACAGCATCCAATTGGTGGACTTGATTAACTTTTGCCACATAACCACCCCCAAAACTTTGTGACTTAAAACATTATTTCTCACATTCTGTGGGTTGGCTGGTCAGTTCGTCCGATCCATGTGGTTGTGGCCAGGGAAGGATAGTCCGGGAGAGCTTCACATGTTCGCAGTTGGTTGGTTGTCAGCTGGATGTGGGCCGTGACTTGACCACGTGTCCCTCATCATCCATCAGGCTAGCCCACACTCATTCCTAAAATGGTGGTCACAGGACTCCCAAGTTCAGCAAGAGGGCAAGCCCCAACTCACAAGTGTTTTTTAAGCCTCTGCTTGCACGATGTTAATGTCCCACGTCCACAGCAAGTCACAGTCCAGTGCAGTCAGTGGGGGTAGACACCACCAAAGAGTATAATTTGGGAGACTGGAAATAATTTGTGGCTATTTTCACAATCTGCCACACTCATCTCCCTATTTCCACCTCCTTTGCCTCTCTGAAATCCATTTTCCACACAGCAACCCAAGTAATCATTTTTAAACACACGCACACTCATTTCACTCCCTGGTCCAAACTTATGGCTTCGTTTAAAATACAACCCCTGTTATGAATTTTAAAATCCTTCCGGGATCTGGCCTCTGCCTACCTGCCCAGCTCATCTAGTACCGTCGACTCCTTGCCTACTGTGTCCCAGCAAGAGTGATCTTTTGTTTCCTTGAATACAGAAAACTCCTTCATGCTTCAGATCTTTGCATTTGTTCCCTTTGACTGAAATACTCCTCCCCCTCATATCTGCGGGGCTGGCTTTGTCATTCACATTTCAGCTTAAAACTCATTACAGCGATCTTCCCCGTGCAGCCAATTTAAGAATGACTTCACCTTACTTAAATTTTCTGCAAAGCACATACCAGTGATATTTTGTATGTCCCTGTTCCTGTTTATCACGGCATTCCCGAGGGCCTACAACACTGCCTGGCACATAGGAAGCACATAACAAACATTTGTTGAATTAATGCAGAGCTGCATACTACGTCCCAGGATTGTGCTAAGCTACGGTTACTGTACCCTTCCCATCTCAGCAGGATAGTTTCACAAAATGTAAATTCCACATTGAGGATTAATTGGATGCACGTTACACCTCATCCCACACCAGTAACTCGTCTTCCTCTATTTCCCCACCACTCCCCTTGCCAAATAAAAGGTGAGGAAGCATTTGGAAAACTTAGGGTCATCACTCTGGTCTTTTGCCACATTTCGCTGGCTTCATCGAGCTCAACGCAACATGAACTACTAACAGCAGCAGCACCTGAGATGAGAGGGTGAATGAAGGTAGGAGATTTCACCGCCCGCGGGCGGCAAGGGATCTGCCGCAGCTCTAAAGCACTGCATGCTGGGAGTTGTAGTCTCCCGGGGAGGCCTGGTCTGGTAGGACCGGGGCCCCCGCGGCATGCAGGGAGTTGTAGTCGAAGGGCTGTTGAGACTCCGCCTCTGCACTTATAGTAGCAAGGGGGAATCCTCACTGCATGCTGGGAACTGTAGTCTTCCTGGGTCCCCGTTCCTCCAGGACGCGGAGGCGCCGGAGTTGCCGCCATTTTAGGTCCCGAGGTGCGCCGGCCGAGAACCAGAGCGCAGGCGGGCTCAGTCCTGGCGCCGGGCCGGCCCCGCCCCCGGGGCGCCTGGCGCCCGCCCCTTGCTCAAGCCCCGCCTTTCCCCACGTGTCTGCCGCCTAGGGGAGGTGCCTCATCCGGAGCGGGCCGCCAACGGTCCGGCCCCGTCCGCACAGACGCTCCTGTCGGCGGCGCCCGGGAGCGGCTCGGCTGCCCGATGCTTCCGCCCCGGCTGCCGCGGGCCGGGCTGTACGCTTAGTGCCCGGCTCAGGCCCCCTGAAGCGCCCGCGGGGGTGAGAGCGGCCTCCGGCCCCGCGGAGACGGAGCGGCTTGAGGACGAGGCGGCGGCCGCGGGGAGGAGGATGGGGGCTAACCAGTTAGTGGTGCTCAACGTGTACGACATGGTGAGTGCGGCCCCTGGCGGCCCCGAGCCCTGGCCCAGGCCGGCTTCCTCTCGCCCGTGGGGCTCGGACCCCGGCCCCAGGCGCTTCCTGCCTGGCGTCTCCGCCTCCAGCCTAGTTCTCGGGGGAAGCCGGGGGTGAAGGAGGGAGTATTGTTATTTTTTAATCCTCGCACTCGTCGACGCTCCGGTGAACCCAGTCAGCCCGAGGGTTTTGGCCAAAGCTCGGGTGGGCTTGAACCTCTCCCATCCGCTCAGCTTGGACCCGACCCCGGCTCTGGGCCCGACCCCTTGGCCGACGTGCAGTGTCCTTTCGGCAAAGCTTCCGTTGCGTTTCCAACCCCACTTGCCGGCCCCCGGGGCTGCCCCGGGACCCCCGTCCCGACCGCCTGCGCTCCCAGCTCCTCTGCTTCTGCCGAACTGTCCGTCTCTCTCCATGGCTACGTCTTCAGAAACTCCCAAGCCCCTCTAAGTCCAGAAGGTCACAGCTTTCGGGTGCCTGTGCTAGAATCTCTTCAAAGGTGAACAGGAGCCAACACACCCTTTCCTTGTGTGTTAAAGGCAACCTCGTTAAAATATGAATGAGGCTAACATTTCTCAAGAAAATAGCCCAGCTGAATTATTTAGAGATCCTGGTGGTGCTCCTTTCCTACACTCTGAAGACCACTTTCCAGGTGATGCAACAGGTGACGTGACCACGGGAGAGGGAAGGGAAGAAGTTGTTTATTGTATCATCTAACTTTGGAGTATGGCAAGCACGCAGAATCGAGTCCAAGAACTGGTTTGCCTGATTTTTGCAGTGAAATGCCCCCAGAAAAAAGCACCCGGTAGAGAATTGTCGTTGCAGTTAGATGCATGTTTGGGTGTGTTTGCTTGCTTTGTTCTGTAGAATGGGTTTTTGTTCTGTAGACTGGATTAGTACCTCTGACTGCAGTGCTTAAAATTCCTTGTAAGTTGACTGACAAATGAAAAATTGCCCGTCGTTATTTTTGTTGGCTTAAAGATGCAGGAGAGCAGAAATACTACAGGCCAAGAGTCTTATACAGTTCTAAACTTTGTATTCCCTTGTATTATTTATAAGTTTCTAAATTTACAGTGTTATTATATCTTGGGTAGAGTGGGATTTCTCATGCCATATCTGGGAATTGTGTCAGAAGGGTGTAGGAACTGCCTGCCACTTGAGATGAGTCCTCTGTTGAATTCTGATGTGAGCCTGGAGATGAAAGGAGATGAGTTAACATGCTGAGAAAAGTGGAACAGGACAGAAAAAGTTGAAGAGGAGAATAAGCCAAACAAAAGATCCTAGAAAACCATGGCACTTTGTAAGTTCTGTGGCCTGTGTCACTGGTTGAGAAATAATTCTCTGGATTTAAACTTTTTGTGTTCAGCTGAACACCTTTATCTTTCAAGACTCTTAACTGCCCTTTTACTTTCTCTGTGCACATCCCCCTAATCTGAATTTGGTTTGTTTTTTATTCATGAGGGCTATTACTGTCTTTCAGAATATATTCTGCTCTTGAGATCACAGTGTGCCTTTTCTCCTAGATTATTAAACAAACCCGTATTTAAATTAGGAGTATACAGTGGCCAGAAGCCATGGTTTCAGAGCCTAAAAGAATTTGTGAGAATAGAGGAAGAGAGTTTTACCTTTTATATGAAAACGAAAATGCATGTTTTGGCATATAGTGGGCTTCTTTACACTTGAGGCATTCTGTGATACAGGAAAATCTGCAAATTGTGGTCGATTGGGAAAAGCTAGAGATGGTATTCAGTATTTTCGAAGGGAGGACTGTTCTGAACGATGTTAAAATATTGACTAATGAGCGAGATCTTATTCTTCACATCAAGTTTGTAAAATAGGTAGTTAGAGAAGCAGCAGACAGGGGAGAGAGTAAGTGATCTGCCTAAACAACTAAAAATACAATCTAGAATTTGTAGACCAAAATCTGATTCACTATCTTCTCTACTAATTCCTGCACTTATGTCTTTATATTGCTTTTGCCTGTGAACAGGAGATGAAGCATATGAATGTTTATCGGAATGATAAATAGTTGAATTATTAGACTTTTAATAAACTTGGTCTTATATGTTCTTTTGAGGGCTTTGAGTGTTTTATGTCACTAATTCAGCAACCTACCATTACTTATTATTTTTGACCTGGTAGAAGCCACAAGGATGAGTTAACTGTCCTTTCTTCTTTAAGGAATTTAGAGTATTGTAGAGGAGATACACAACAGTGGCAACAATTCAAGACAGAATAGCATGGTTTTGATAAGAGCAGACAAGGATGCAAAGGAGGAGACTATGTAGTTGTAGGATCAGGGAATGCTGAAAAATCAAAGGTATGAAACTTGAAGAATGGGTAGCATCCACAAGGACAGAGAACAATTGACGTGAACAAAATGGCAGGAATAGGGAAAGCGCAGGTGGGATTTGGGAACTATCAGCTGGTCCAGTATAACTAGAGTAGAGCATAAATGAAAGGAGACAAAACTGAAAGTTTGATTAGAACTTCTTTAGTCAGATGTGTTGTGGGCTTGGGTGAAGGGCTGAGGGGGCTCCTTGAGCCAGCAGAACCATTTAAGGTTTTCATGGAGGGGAACAGTGTGATCAGTTGTTTAGATTGAGATACAAATTTTGGTCTGTTATACTAATTTTTCTCAAGTCAGTTTTGGTTTTTGAAATATTTTTGTTTGATGCCAAGGGTAAATTCCTTTTATCTTTGGTAATTCTTCCTATTCATCAGAGATGCTTTGGATGAGGGTTGCTGTTGTCTGTATAGGCCTAGTACATCAGCTGTCTGGTTCCAACTCTGTAAATATGAAAATCAACCTTAGGGATGCCCTTATAATCATGGTTATAGGGACCTCTTGCCATGTGTCCTTGTGTCTCTTTGTTAGATTGTCACCCGTTCCAGTTCTGATTGTATTTTTCTATTTTCTAGATTGGGCTGCTGCGGATCATTTCTTTTCTTCCATAACTCTGCCGTATGCATGAAAATAATTCTATTGGGGGTCACCAGTATTAACTTCCTTCTCATGGAAGAAGAGTGTGATCCTCAGAAGGTTACTTAATTATGCATAGTGTTCCTATTGCTTGCTGCCTTATCAGTGATTATGTTCCTCTGTGTACTTTGGAGTAATCTACCACCAATAAAAACGTCCTGGAGCTACTTTCTGAGTCGTGGGAATGAGCTTGTTCACGTATTCCTAATTGACTGGCACACATAGCAAAGCAGGTGACTCAGATTAGTTTCAAATACTGAGACAAATCTCTGGTGTAGTCATTTTAAGTCTTCATTTTTCATAGATCCAGATTTTGTGCTTTTCAGGTTATCTTGACTAATGAATTTTTATAAAATAAAAATATGCAGGTATTTGATAATGTTTGCAAATTCATTGTGTTAACAAGTTTCTACCAGTTTTATTTATTTATTTTATTTATTTGTTTTCTCACTCTGTCACCCAGGCTGGAGTGCAGTGGTGCGATCTCGGCTCACAGCAACCTCTGCCTCCCCAGTTCAAGTGATTCTCCCGCCTCAGCCTGCCAAGTAGCTGGGATTACAGGCACCTGCCATCATGCCCGGCTAATTTTTGTATTTTTGTAGAGGTGGGTTTCACCATGTTGGCTAGGCTTTTCTCAAATTCCTGTCCTCAAGTGATCCGCCCGCCTCAGCGTCCCAAAGTTCTGGGATTATAGGCATGAGCCACTGTGCCCAGCCAGTACCAATTTTATTATAAAGTAGTACCTATACATCTTCAAAGTCTTTAAAGAATAGAAAAGAACCACTTTCTAGGACACTTCAAATAAGGACATTTTTGTCTGGACTCCGTTCTTTTGACGCCTGTCTCCATTAGACTCCTCCAACAGGGTGTCAGGTCAGGCAGGTGTGATAGATCCGATTTCTCATACATCTGCAGATCTAATTCAGACTTTTTGAACAAGTTCCAGAATCACACATCCCACCTAAATGGTTCCTTCGTATCTCAAATCAACATGTCCAGGAACAAACTTCTTCCCTTTCCTCCTGTCCACAGCGCACATTCTTCCTCTTGCCCCATGCCACTGCCCAAAAAGCCACCACTTTTGTTGTAGTTTCCCAAACCGGAAACCTGGGAGTAAACTTAAATTCTTCTTTATTATAAACCCTTCACAGTCAGTCAGCTGGCCCTGTCTCTTTGTTTTAGTTTGGTTGATTCTGTCTGAAAGCAACAGAGAGCTTGAGAGTCAGTGGCTTAAGCTGGAAGGATACTTAAGTCCAGAGATAAACAGGCCCTGGATTAGTTCAGCAGCTCAGCTGTGCCATCAAGAACCAGGACTTTCCATCCTTTTACTCTACCATCCTCAGCACGTTGGCTGTTGCCCTTGGTTCGTCCTCTCATAATTGTAAAGTAACTGCCATAAGCACCAAATAGTATCCTCAGTCAGCAGTATGTGAAGGAAGATGGAAGAAGATAGGGTCATTTTCTACATGCACCTCTGTTCTTTTAATAGAAAGGAAAAACTTACCAGAGCCCCACTCCTTCCCCGAAGAGATTATCTAGAATTGGCTCGTGTGCAACTGTGATGAAGCTGAGTAAGTGGATATCTGGTGTTTCTAACCTTTATGGTGAGTTGTGGGTGAGGAAGGCAAAAAGTTGGAAATGGCAGTTTGATGGGAACCTATGATGTCTGTCACATATTTTACTTTCTGGATATTATTTAAATCGGTTACTTTATCCCCATTTCCACTAATGCTTCTCAAGTTCAGGCCCTCATCTCTATTCATATAATAGCCTCCTTACGAGTTTCAGTCTCTAGTATTACTTCATTTTAATCCTTCCTCCATTCTGTTACCAAAGTAACCTTTCTGAAACATAACCAGGATAAAGTGTAATGCACTTTATGATGTGGCCCCTGGCTGACAGTTAAAGGTCCATTTCCCTCTTCTATATAACAGTCTTTATTCTCACACAGTGAAATTTTTTAGCTGTCCAAACAGGCTATATCACATCCCCATATCTTTATGCATGCCCATCCTTCTGTCTGGAGTGGCATTGTCCAGCATTGATCACCTGCAACCTCCTGCTTGCTCCTTCTGGCTGTAGCTTAGTCTTTATTCCTGAGACTTGAGTGAACTCCTATGCCCTAGTTGTGCTTCGTGCCTGTCTCCATTACTGCGTATACTATCCCGTGCATCCCACCAGACTGTGAGTTCTCCGATAGCGCCATACTATGACCAGTGTCTAGAACAGGGCCTGTCACTAGATGGTGTTCTAGAAATATCCGCTCAATGAGTGGGGCTTTAGCTGGTTTTTATTAGGAGAGTTGCCAGTAACTTAAATGGCATGAAAAGATCATGTGATCTTCCTCTTTGTGCCAAATGCCTATTTCTGGTGTTTTTTTCTTGTACCTTTGCTTAAGTGCATTGCTAGATTTTAGCTTTGATTGTTGGACTAGGGTGTCCAGATGAAGGGGAGGGGAGGATTATAGGAATGGGACAGAAAAAAATCAAATAGTTTTCTTTGACAAAACTTAAAATACTATGGGACTAGACTGAGGAAATGTTTTTAATAAGTTTATTTCTTGAAATTGGATCTTAATTACTCTTTGGAAGATAATCTTTCCGAAAACATTGTCAGTTCCTGAATTTTAACATAAATTAACTAGTTAATAGGAATAATAGGAGCTGGTCATCCATCTTTTTTTTTTTTTTTAAACGGTAAGGAATTTACCTTAATTTACTTGTATCAATATGCTTCTTGGGCAAATAGTGACCCATGAGTCTAGCTAAGCAAAAGGACAGTTGTACATCTGCCCTCCTACATTATTTATGGCATTGTCCTCTTTTCTTTTTTAGGGGGGAAGGGGGTGGGGGAAGCTAGTATGTATGAGAAAAGAATTCAGTTTCCATACATATGTACATTTGTTTTCTATTGCAGCAATAACAAGTTGCCAAAAACTTAGTAGTTTAAAACAACACAAATTTATCATCTCACACTTATGTAAATCAGAAGACCAGGTGGGTTAGCCCAGTTCCTCTGCTATAGTCTTCACAAGCCCAAGATCAAGGTGTTAGGCTCTGGGGGCAAATCTGCTTCCAAGCTCATTCAGATTGTTAACAGAATTCAGTTGCTTATATTTGTAGGTCTGAGGTCCCATTCCTTCCTGCTGTCAGCTGGGATCCTCTCTCAGTTGCTTCAAGTGTCATGCAGTCCTCCATCTTCAGACCGGCAATGGTGTGTGGAATCCTTATGCTTCAAATATCTCTGACTTCACTTTCCTCCACATCTGTCCTACCTCCAGCCACAGAAAGTTTTCTGTTTTTAAGAGGCCAGGTAATTGAGACCCACCCAGATATTCCAGGATAATTTCCTGATATTGAGGTCCATAATTTCAATGACATCTGCAAAGTCTCTTTGCTATGTAACATGTTCACAGGTTCTGGGAACATTCTGGGGAGTCATTCTGCCACAGTGCCATCTATGAAAGGTGTTTTGTAAACCCAAAAATGTTCAGTTAAAAATTGTTTCATCATAGCAGTCACTCGACTTGGCATAGAATAAATATTGACCTAGTAACTTAAGCTGGAAAATTTGAAGTATTTGAAAAATACAACTCAGATGCCAGTAGGGTCCAAGCGTATTGGTGACTAAAACCCCTTCAGACTTGCAGTGGCATACCGTTCCAGTGTATATCAGTTCCATGGTCACATTTATAATGGTGGATAAAGTTAACAAAACATTTGAAACTTGTAAATCAGATACTTTAAAAATACCAGAGAGCCTACTATTTAGATGAATTCTTTGTTTTATGGATTTTTCTTTTTTTGTTGTTGTTTTGTTGTTGTTGTTGTTGTTTTGAGACAGAGGTCGCCCAGGTTGGAGTGCAGCAGCGCCATCTCTGCTCACTGCAACCTCCGCCTCCTGGGTTCAAGCAATTTTCCTGCCTCAGCCTCCAGAGTAGCTAGGACTACAGGCGTGCGCCACCATGCCCAGCTAGTTTTTTTGTATTTTTAGTAGAGGCAGGGTTTCACCATGTTGGCCACACTGGTCTCAGTCTCCTGACCTCATGATCCACCTGCCTCGGCCGCCCAAAGTGCTGGGATTATAGGCGTGAGCCACCGCACCCGGTCGGATTTTTCTTAAGATGGGATGTACTTACACTTTCCGTTTGTTGACTGTCGAATTCTCTACAAGATTATTTGAATTCCAAAGCAACATTATTGTGTAAATGTCAGCCAGTTGGTTCATAAAATGTAAAGTGAGAAACTGCCAAAATAATCTTAAACTGTAAGAAAGGCAAAAATAATAATAAAAGGACAATGGGATGCATGAAAATAATTTTGTTTTAGTTTATCTGGAATGTATTTTGGTATAGATGTGACAGTAACTTAAAAACAATAAATTAAAAATCAACTAATTGGCCCCACATTATTTGAAATAAGTCTTTCCTCTCTAAATTGTGATGTCATCCTTAATCATAATACTAAATTCTTACCCATACGGAATTGTTGATTCTAGCCTTATTACCACACTGTTTTAATTATTATACTTTCACGTTATATTTGGAATCTGATTAGGCCAGTTTCCCTTTACTATTATTCCAAAGCTTTATTGGCCTTCATTTCCTTTTCTAGGAGTACTTTGTAAGGCTCGCTGAAAAAAATTCCATAGGTTTTTGTTTTGTTTTAATTGTGTTAAAATACACATAACATAAAATTTACGTTTTTAACTATACAATCTACTGTGTTAGGTATATTCACATTTTTGTGCAACCAGTCTTCAGAACTTTTTTATCTTGCAAAACTGAGACTCTATACCCACTAAACAACAACTCCCCATTTCTCCCTCCCCTCAGTCCCTGGTAATCATCATTCTGCTTTCTGTCTCTGTGCATTTGACTAGATAACCTCATTTAAGTGAAATAATACAGTATTTATTTTGTGACTGGCTTATTTCACTTAGCATAGTCCTCAGGGTTTATCTATGTTGCAGCATGTATCAGAATTTCCTTCCTTTTTAAGGCTGAGTAATATTCCACTGTGTATGTATATGCCACAGAAATCAAGCTAATTTTCTTTTTTTTTATTATTATACTTTAAGTTCTAGGGTACATGTGCACAATGTGCAGGTTTGTTACATATGTATACATGTGCCGTGTTGGTGTGCTGCACCCATTAACTCATCATTCACATTAGGTATATCTCCTAATGCTATCCCTCCCCGCTCCCCCCACCCCACCACAGGCCCCAGTGTGTGATGTTCCCCTTCCTGTGTCCAAGTGTTCTCCTTGTTCAATTCCCACCTATGAGTGAGAACATGCGGTGTTTGGTTTTTTGTCCTTGTGATAGTTTGCTGAGAATGATGGTTTCCAGCTTCATCCATGTCCCTACAAAGGACATGAACTCATCATTTTTTATGGCTGCATAGTATTCCATGATGTGTATGTGCCACATTTTCTTAATCCAGTCTATCATTGATGGACATTTGGGTTGGTTCCAAGTCTTTGCTATTGTGAATAGTGCCGCAGTAAACATACGTGTGCATGTGTCTTTATAGCAGCATGATTTATAATCCTTTGGGTACATACCCAGTAATGGGATGGCTGGGTCAAATGGTATTTCTAGTTCTAGATCCCTGAGGAATTGCCACACTGACTTCCACAATGGTTGAACTAGTTTACAGTCCCACAACAGTGTAAAAGTGTTCCTATTTCTCCACATCCTCTCCAGCACCTGTTGTTTCCTGACTTCTTAATGATCGCCATTCTAACTGGTGTGAGAAGGTATCTCATTGTGGTTTTGATTTGCATTTCTCTGATGGCCAGTGATGAGCATTTTTTCATGTGTCTTTTGGCTGCATAAATGTCTTCTTTTGAGAAGTGTCTGTTCATGTCCTTTGCCCACTTGTTGATGGGGTTGTTTGTTTTTTTCTAAATCAAGCTAATTTTCAGTGTCATTAGACACAGGTTACTTCCATCCTTTGGCTGTTATGAATAATGGTGTGTGAACATGGGTTTATAAAAATAAAAATGTCTATTCAAGTCCTGCTTTCGATTTTTTTGGATATATACCCAGAAGTCCATAGATTTTTTTAATTGGGCTTGCACTAAACTTATAAATTAACTTGGGAAGAACTGACATCTTTTCTATCATATTCTTCCCTCCACCCCCATTGATGAAAACAGGATGTTTTTTGTTTTTTGAAATTTTTATCCAGAAAATAGTTAAATAATGCCAAACTCATCTATCTAAACTGTCTATTAAACAGAATAAAGCTAATAAAATATATATGAGATAGTAAGTGGTAATTAGTGCTAAAGAGGAAAGTAAAGCAAAGAAGGGGAGGGACAGTGTAAGTCAGGATGGTATAGTTACCGGTTACTGCAGTTTCAAAGAGAGTGGTCAAGAAAGGCCTCACTAAGAAGGCATTCCTGAAAGGTGAAGTATACCATGTAGAAAGGAGAAAGTGTTCCAGACAGAGGGTAAGCAAACATCAAGGCTGTAAATCGGGCCACATGCTACCTGTTAAGTAAATGTACAGCAAGAAACAAGAGAAGTTTTTAAGGAATTGTTGATTTAAGTTCTCAGGTAGATTCAGTAGGATCATTGAAAATAGAACAAGCAGTACCACCAGAAAGGGAAAAATCTGGGATTAGGATAGATTCCACAAAAATGAAAAGCACCATTTCCTAATTTTTAACTAGAAAGGGAGTTAGATTGGGAACTAAAGAGAAAACAACAAGATTTAGAAAGTCAGAAATTCAAGTAGAAGGGTCAAAAGGATCAAGTGATAGGCAAAACTTTTTAAAAGTTAGGACCATTCAACCAAAGCCTGGTTTAACTTGCAGTTTTTTTTTTTCCTTTTTTTTGACATGGAGTCTCGCTCTGTCGCCCAGGCTGGCATCCGTCTCGGCTCAGTGCAAGCTCCGCCTCCTGGGTTCACGCCATTCTTCTGCCTCAGTCTTCTGAGTAGCTGGGACTACAGGCGCCTGCCACCACGCCCGGCTAATTTTTTGTATTTTTAGTAGAGACGGGGTTTCACCATGTTAGCCAGGATGGTCTCGATCTCCTGACCTCGTGATCCGCCCACCTCAGCCTCCCAAAGTGCTGGGATTACAGGCGTGAGCCACCGCACCTGGCTGCAAATTTTAAGAATAAAGTAAAAAATCCTACAAATACACAAAGGCAAAAAAGTTACACGGGAACAAAATCAGGCTAATTTCAGACTTCTCTTTGCTTATACCAAAGGCTGAATAATAAAGTAGAGCATTATCTACAGAGTATTAAAAGGGAAAAGATTTATGTCTGAATACTATAGCTTCTCCAGTTGTCATTCATGTACAAAAGGACATAGACAATATGTAGATACCTTTCTGGGGGTTAAAAAATTATTCAAGAACTTGGCCGGGCACGGTGGCTCACGCCTGTAATCCCAGCACTTTGGGAGGCCAAGGTGGACGGATCATGAGGTCAGGAGATCGAGACCATCCTGGCTAACACGGTGAAACCCCATCTCTGCTAAAAATACAAAAAATTAGCCAGGCGTGGTGGCGGGCGCCTGTAGTCCCAGCTGCTCGGGAGGCTGAGGCAGGAGAATGGCGTGAACCTGGGAGGCGGAGGTTGCAGTGAGCCGAGATTGCGCCACTGCACGCCAGCCTGGGCGACAGAGTGAGACTCCGTCTCAGGAAAAAAAAAAAAAAAAAAAAAAAATTATTTAAGAACTTAACAATGGGGTGGTTACACTAAAAGGAAAGGCCATGGCCATCAATACTCATTTAACATAGCTAAATCTTATAACTGTGGTTAAAAACAGGGCCAGTGTCCAGAATTACTCTTTGAAGAGAACAAGCATGATGATTTTTAAAAATTAAGTTTTCAGGTTATGTTGAACAAACCTTGGGTGAGAGAGAAGAGGTAAAAGCTTGTAGCAGCCCTATATAGAAGGACGTGTGTTGTAAATATACTTAATTCTTGTTTTGGAAGATTATATTTGAGTGTATGTGTTAATTTTTTTCATTAAGATGTATTATTGGGAGAAAATCAAACCTACAGGGAAAAGAGCAACGAAGACGTAATCCATATGGTGTAATAGAAAAAACAGAGAAAAGTTCAATATGAAATGAAGTCAAGGCCAGGCACTGTGGCTCAGGCCTGTAATCCCAGCACTTTGAGAGGCTGAGGTGGGTGGTAGTGGGACCTTATCTCTACAAAAAATAAATAAATTAGCCAGGCCCATGCCTGTGATTCCAGCTACTTAAGGGACTGAGATGGGAGGATTGCCTCAGCCCAGAAGGTCGAGGCTGCAGTAAGCCATGATTGTGCCACTGCACTCAGTCTGGGCAACAGAGCAAGACCCTGTCTCAAAAATAAATACAAATAGGACCAAGCATATAAGTTATGAAATGACAGTAAATAAATTAAAATCCCCTATTAAGCTTGGTAAGTGTATTTATAAGTGTCCTTTGCCTTACAGAAATTTTGTTCTATGTGGTCAAAACTGTTGGTCTTTTATAACCTTTCATCTTCCAGTCCTTCCCTAGATTTTTCCTTGCAAAAAATGATAGAAATAATCTACATGTTTGTTCCCAAGTGGAATGCCAGTTATCCCAATGCTGTTTATTGAATAATCCATGCTTCCCCATGTTAATTTGTGGCACATACTATGTTTATGTTGTACTAAATTATCATGGATATTTAGGTCTGTTTGAAGACTGTCTGTGCTATTCATTTCTGCCTCTTCCTGCACCATTATTAGATGTTGAATTATACTAGTCTCTTCCAGCAAGTTTTGATATCAGTTTTGATATTGAATCTTCCGATATTAATACCTGATTTTTTTTTTTTAGTGTTTTCAGTATGCCACTATACTAAGCCATTTCCTTATATTATTATCCCTTTTTAAGTTGATGAAACTGAGGCCTAGTTGAAAAGCAAGCTCAGAGTCACGCCATAGTGGTAGAGCACAGTCTTGAACAAGAGCTCTTAACACTAAAATCTGCGCTCCTAACTGTCATGCTGTATTTCTTTTTCCTCATCTCATCCCCTCCATAACCCAGAAATATGCTGATTCTCTTTTTGTTTGTCCTCATCTTACACCCCTCCCTGAACTAACTTCTGCACTCTGTGGCACTCATGGATATACAGTGATCTAAAAACTGCCCTGCCTCCTAAATCTTTTCTGTGACTATTTCTGTCATAGTTAATGCTATGTGTCGACTTGAGTAGACCATGGTACCCAGTTTTAGTCAGACACCAGTCTAGATGTTGCTGCTAAGGTGCTTTTTAGATGTAACAATTTTATAGATTTTGAGTAAAGAAATTACCCTTCAAAATATGGATGGGCTTCATCCAGTCAGTTGAAGGCCTTAAAAGAAAAACTAAGTTCCCCAAGGAAGAACGAATTTTGGCTCCAGACAAGCTGCAACATCACCTCTTCCCTGAATCTGCATCCTGCAGACCTACTCTGAAGATTTCAGATCTATCAAGCCCCACAGTTGTGTGAGCCAGTTCCTTAAAATAATCACTTCTTTGCTCCCCTCTTCATCTGGGCTATTCTGCAGTCTACTGTTACAGTCACTCCCTCTGTCATACTTGTCTCCGTAGTTAAAATCAGCTCACCATCTACACCGCGGCAGCTGAATAGGGCTAGAGAAAAACAACCATAGTGACAGATCTCACTTTACAATTGTGACCACAAACCCCAAGAGGGCCCTAAATACTGTCTAGCAGTGCTTCCTTATTTCTCTGGTCAGTTGACATTCCCACTCTCCGAGACAACTACAATATGTCATACTTTCTCCCCATTCCCTACTCTCAGCTTATTTTCAGAGATTACCTCACAGCTTATTTCACTGAAGAGAAAAGAAAAGGCAGTTTTCTCATCCTTCCACCACCACTGTTTTACCATATGTAGTCTGCGTTCTCTCTGATCATATGGAATGAATTGTCCATGTCTCTATCTGAGATGAAACCTTCCGCTGTGTACTAGAACCCATCCTCTCTCCTATCTATACAAGGACTTCTCTTTCAGAATTGTCACCACTCTTTTCTGCCTCATCAGTTTTTTTTTACTTTCTACTCTATCACTCCAATCAGTGAATGAATATGCTATATTTTATAGTCCCCATTCATTCAAACTGAGGAGAATTAGTGATATACTTTAATATTTATCTCTATTAACCATCAACCATATTGTATCGTGTTCTCAAGCTGAAGGTTTGTCTTTTTAAATGAACTTCTTTAGAAATATATTACTTTTAAGCCTAACAAATAAGTGAACAAGAACTGTTTTAATCAGTCTCATTCATTCTGACCTGTTGCTCTTTTATCTGTGGGTATCAAACAATAATACAGCAATAAGGATTTTTTAAGTTTCCCACTCTGTAGTGACCCTGAGGGCAGACGCAGTGTCTATATTAGTTCCTTTTTAAAGACATAACTGAAACTGGGAACAAAAAGAGGTTTAATTGGACTTACAGTTCCATGTGGCTCGGGAGGCCTCAGAATCATGGCGGGTGGCAAAAGGCACTTGTTACGTGGTGGCAGCAAGAGAAAAATGAGGAAGAAGCAGAAGTGGAAATGCCTGATAAACCCATCAGATCTCGTGATTCTTATTCACTATCACGAGAATAGCATGGTAAAGACTGGCCCCCATGATTCAATTACCTCCCCCTGGGTCCCTCCCACAATACATGGGAATTCTGGGAGATACAATACAAGTTGAGATTTGGCTGGGGACATAGCCAAACCATATCATTCCACCCCTGGTCCCTCCAAATCTCATGTCCTCACATTTCAAAACCAATCATACCTTCTTAGCAGTCCCCTAAAGTCTTAACTCATTTCAGCATTAACCCAAAAGTCCACAGTCCAAAGTCTCATCTGAGACAAGGCAAGTCCCTTCCTATGAGCCTGTAAAATCAAAAGCAAGCTAGCTACTTCCTAGATATAATGGGGATACAGGTATTGGATAAATACAGCCATTCCAAATGGGAGAAATTGGCCAAAACAGAGGGGTTAAAGGGCCCATGCAAGTCCAAAATCCAGTGGGGCAGTCAAATTTTACAGCTGCAAAATGTTCTCCTTTGACTCCGGGTCTCACATCCAGGTCACGCTGATGAAAGAGGTGGGTTAAAATGACTCACATGATCCTTACAATGATATTGTATGCTAGGTATTATTACTATTCCCATTTTAGAGAGGCACAGATAAGTTAACTAACTTTCCCAAGGCCACACAGCTAAAAAGGGGGTAGGATACAAATCCATGCATCCTGATTCCAGGTTGTACCACAAACTGCATTACACTGCCTCTTGCTATAACAGAAGCAGGCTTGACCAAGGAGGAAAAGGTCAAATACAGCCTCTTGCTGCCCCCTCCTCAGTCCTAACTTTTCTTCAGTCCTGACTCTTACTCTGAACTAGTGCAATGGTTTAGGGCTCTCACCTGTCACCTGACAGGCTAGGGAGATCCATTAGGATAGCAGAGAGAAGCAGGCCTCCAGAGGTGACCAGCCAGTGAGAGGGCTGAAAGACACAAGCCATTGCTGGTGCTGAAGCGTAGTCACTCATTGTGTGATCTTGGTTAAATTACTTGGCTGAACATCCCTGACATAATTTACGTATTTTACATGGACTATTTCATTATGAAAGAAAAAGCTGACAGTACATTTTAGAGTGACATCCACAAAATGAGGTATTGACTATATGTATACATTTGTTGTTTTAACACTTATCAAATTGTGATTATTTACATACTTAAGAGTTCCTTATGGACAAGGATTGTGAATTAATCATCTTTGTATCCCCACTGTCTAGCAAAGTTCTGGACACAGCAGAAGAGGTATACCTATGTTTTGTTCAATCAAAGTTGCTTTGTTTATAGATCTGCTGGTATGCTGTCTTTTTAAAATGAGATTTAAACTGACATACAATTTAGGGGGGTCTTTCTAGAATAGTGTTTCTCAATTTTTATCTTGGATTCAATGCATTAGTACCAACAAGACCTCATAAGGTAGTTTAACAGTGTAAACTTACATCAAAGACAGTAATTAGCCCACGATCTCCACTAGTCACAACTGATATGGGGCTTTTTAAAAACTCAAAAATTGAAATGTCTTCTTTTCCCTGAGCACCCTTTTTTGAGAAATAAGTCAAACACTTGCTTCAATTCACTCAACCTCTAACATGAACACTGATTCTAGTTTTTGAGGAGAAATGGTTATTCTTATACTTATCCAGATTATTTAATACTATCTTTTATGGAAGTCAGGCCCAGGCCCTAAGTGGTTATATTAAGTGTTTTAAGTTACAGAAAAAAGAGATGGCATTTGTCAATGTTACTTTCAAGCAGGAAGCATAAAATTTTATTAAACTGATGAGGGGCAAATCATTGACAAAAATGAAGTTTAATGAACGTTCTCTATCTGAAGAATAACATGACAGTAATATAGCACAATCAATTCGTTTCTGTAAACAATACTTTAAAATAATGAATGAAAATATTTAGGCCAGTTTTTTCCATTGAGGCAAGATTGAGCCCAAAAGTAACTGTACTTATTTTTGTAGTTATTGCCTTCCCCCATATTTTAAGAGGATAATTTTTCTGCAATTTTTTTCTCTTCCCTTTTATCATATT